>NC_000006.12:95070790-95222305 GCF_000001405.40 Homo sapiens
TATATATTCCCATATATATATTTTCCCATATATATATATTCCCATATATATATATTCCCATATATATATATTCCCATATATATATATTCCCATATATATATTCCCATACATATATATTCCCATATATATATTCCCATATATATGTTCCCATATGTATATATTCCCATATATATATTCACATATATATATTCCCATATATATATTCCTATACATATATTCACATATATATTCCTATATATATTTCTATATATAATATTCCTATATATATTTCTATATATATTCCTATATATTTTCCTATATATATTCCTATATATATTCCTATATATATTCCTATATATATTCCTATATATATATTCCTATATATATTCCTATATATATATATTCCTATATCTATATTCCCATATGTATATATATATTCCTATATATACATATAGATATATTCCTATGTATATATATATATTCCTTAGGAAGTTCTATGTAGACAATCACGTCACCTGAAATTGGGGAAAGTTTTGTTTCTTCTATTCCATTCTAGATGTTTTTTGTTTTCTTTTCTTTCCTTTTTTTATTTAATTCAGTGACTACAACATTCAGTTCTATGTTGAATAAGAATGGTGAGAATTGTCATTCGTCACCTTGTTCCTGATGTCGGTGAGAAAGGAGTCAGTCTTCACTATTAATTATAAAACCAGCTGTTCGTGTTTCGTGGATGCTCTCTGTGAAGTCATGGAAATTATTTTCTACTCCTAGTTTGCCAAAAGTTTTTTTCATCATAAATGTGTATTAAATTTCATTAAATGCTTTTTCTGTACCAATTAATATAATCAGGTTTTTTTCTAATTTAGCCTGTTGATATGATACAGTATAGTGTTGTTTCAAATGGTAAACCAACTCTTCATGGGTCAATAAAAAATCTGTTGTAGAATAGTGTTAAATTCTTGGTTATCACACAGAATTATTGTTAAAATTTACTGAATTTAACTGCCTAATATTTTAAGAATTTCGGGGTCTAGGTTTATGAGAGATATTGTTCTGCAGTTTTCTTTTCTATTTCTTTCTTTGCTTTGTTTCTTCTTCTTTCTTTCCTTCCTTCCCTTCTTCCTTTTATTTTCTTTGTACTGTCTTTAGTTTTGATATCAGGATAATACTCATCTCATGAAATGAGTTGGAAAGTATTCTCTTCTGTTTTCTGCAGAAGGTTACATAAAATTGGTGTCAATTCTTCTTTAAATGTTTAGTAAAATTTAACAGTGAAGCCATGTGGACTCAAATATTTCTTTCTAGGAAAGGTGTTAATTAGAAATTCAAAATGTTTAATGATTATAATACTGTATCAATTTATTTTGATTGAATTTTGGTACTTTGCAGTTTTTGAAGAATCAGTTCATTATTCTAAGTTGTCAAGTTGTACCTCAAAATTGTTTATAGAATTTCCTTATTATCTCTTCAGTAAGTTCAGGATCCTTAGTGATACATTTCTGCTATTACTCATTGCATTTTTCTCTTTTTACCTTTATCATTCTTGCTAATGGTTTATCTATTTTATTGATATTTTCAAATAATTAGCTTTTTGTTTCATTGATTTTCCTTTATTATTTCCATAATCTTAATTGTATTATTAATTTTACTATTATTTCTTTTTTTTTTTTTTTTTTTTTTTTTTTTTTTTTTTTTTTGAGGCGGAGTCTCGCTCTGCAGCCCAGTCTGGAGTGCGGTGGCGCGATCTCGGCTCACTGCAAGCTCTGCCTCCCAGGTGCACACCATTCTCCCGCCTCAGCATCCCAAGTAGCTGGGACTATAGGCGCCCGCCACCACGCCCAGCTAATTTTTGTATTGTTAATAGAGACGGGGTTTCACTGTGTTAGCCAGAATGGTCTCAATCTCCTGACCTCGTGATCTGCTTGCCTCGGCCTCCTACAGTGCTGAGATTACAGGCATGAGCCACCGCGCCCGACCAATTTTGCTATTATTTTCTAACTATTTCTTCTTTCTCCCTGTTTTTGGCTTAATTTACTCTTCTTTGTTGTAATACTAAAAATAGGAATTTAAGTTATTGATTTGAAATTGTTTCTTTTTCTGATGTAAACGATTGTATAATTTTTTTTCTCAGAAGTGCTTTAGGTGTATCTCACCTATATGGATGCATTGTATTATAATTCTCATTTAATTTCATGAATTTTTTGTTTCCTTTGAAACTTCCTATTTGGCTCACAGATTATTTAGAAATGTTTTGCTCAGTTTCCAAATGTTTTAAGATTTTTTTTTCCTGTAACCAGTTTCTAGTTTGATTACATTATGGTTGGAGAAGATACTCCACATAGTTTTTAATTTCTCTAAATTGTTTAGACTGTTTTATGATCCAATATATAATCTATATTGGTGAGTGTTTTCACCATATGAAATGAAGTATGGGAACTTGAAGGAAATGTACATGCTGCTCTTGTAGATTAAAGAGTTCTGTATGTGTCAGTTAGTTCCTATCAGTTGATGGTGTTGTTCAGCTCTTCTTTGTCTTTGCTAGTTTTCTGTCTATTGATTGTATTACTGAGAGTGGGGTGTTGAAGTTTCCAACTACAATTGTAGATTTGTCTATTCCTCCTTCTAACTCTTTTATTCTTTCCTGTGTTTAGAAGATCTATTGTGTGGTATATACCCATTAATGATCACTATGACCTCTGTATTAGTTTGCTAGGGCTGCTATAACAAAAAGACACAAGCAATGAGGCTTAAACAACAGAAATTTATTTTATCACAGTTCTGGAGGCTAGAAGTCTAAGATTAAGGTATTGGCAAGTTTGTTTCTTCTAAGGGCTCTCTTCTTGGCTTGCAGATAGAGCTTCCTTCTTGTGATGTACTCACATAGCCTATTCTCTGTGAATGCACATCCCTGATGTCTCTTCTTCTTTTAAGGATGCCAATCATATTGAATTAGTGTCACTATTCTGACATCATTTAACCTTAATTCCCTATTTAAAGGCTCTATTTCCAAATACAGTCACACTGGCATTAGGGCTTCAAGATATATATTTTGATGAACATAATTCAGTCAATAGAAACATTTTAATGGATTATTTTATCATTATAACATATCATTTTATAACTGATAATTTTCTTTGCTTTGAAACCTGTTTTATCTGATATTAATATAGTCACTCAATTTATTTTTTTAATGTTAACATGGTTTATCTTTTTCCTTTAAGTTTCATCCTGCATATGACATTGTGTTTGAAGCGAATTTCTTGAATACAGCATATAAAACATGGATTTTTTTAAAATCCACTCTGTCAATCTCTGTTTTTTAATCAGTGTATTTCCATAATTTACATTTAAGTAATTTTTTGTTGTGGTACTGCATAAATATGTGATTTCGTTTATTTCTATTTTCTCTATTTCTCATTCTTTATTTTTCTTTTCTTCCCTTCATTTGGATTACACGAATATTTTATAGAATTCTATATTTTTAATTGTTTTCGAATATATCACTTTGTATAGTTATCTTAATGATTGTTCTAAGCTGTACAATATACATATATATAACTTAACACAACCAACAGTTACTGACATTTTACTTTTTTTTTTTTTTTTTTTGAGACAAGGCTCTGTCTCTGTTGCCCAGGATGGGTTTGAACTCCTGAGTTCATGTAATTATCTCACCTCAGCCTCATGAGTAGTTGGGATTACAGGTGAACAATACCATGTCTAGTGATATTTTACCACTTTAAGTAACTACTGAATCTGTAGTTCTATTAATATCTCTGTCCCTCCCCATTATAAAAATTTGTCTCAATTATTTCTCTGCATACACTGGCCATCACATGATTTTTGCTTCTGCCATCTAATATGATTTTTAAAACTCATGAGGAGAAAAAATATATTTTCCCTAATATACCTATTTTTAAATGAAATCGCAGACTTTCTGTCATCTTTTTCATTCTAATTGGATAGATTTTTTAGCCATTCCTTAAGGGTAAATTGCTAGGATAAAATTAAATGTTTCTTTGCCTGAGAATATCTTAATTTCCCCATCAACCCTGAAGGACAGTTTTGCAAGATACTGAATTTGTGGTTGACAGTTCTTCTTCCTTTCAGCACTTAAAAATATTGTGCCCCTTTCTTCAGACCTTCATGGTCAAATTGGAATTTCACTCTTATTTGAATAAGTTTTGTTTTTTTTTTTTGCTATAGATAATGCATCATTTCTCTCTGGTTGCCTTTAAGATGTCTTTCTTTGTCTTTCATTTTTAGAAGTTCACTTATCATGTGTCACGGAGAGGATTGCTTTGAATTTACCTTGTATGGGATTCACTTAGCTTCTTGAATCTGTAAATTCACATATTTTTTGCCAAATTTGGGGAGTTTTCAGCAATTATTTTTGAATATTTTATACCTATATTCTTTCTTCTTTTTGCCTGAGGCTCCAATAATAGAAATGTTTGATATTATGTTCTGTTCCACATGTCCCTGAAACTGTGTTCAGTTTTTTTTCAGTCTAGTCTGTGATTGAGATTGAGTAAATTCTGTTGATCCCCTTAAGTTTACTGCTTCTATCTTCTGTCATCTCCACTCTACTACTGAGCCCATTAAACAAATGGAAGGTATAAGATAGAGTCAAATGGAAATTATGGAACCAAGAAATGCAATAACCAAATAAAAATTCACTTGATGGGTTTTTATTTTGGTTATTACATTTCTTGATTCCATAATTCCCATTTGATTCTATCTTATAACTTCTATTTATTTAATGACATTTTCATTTTTTTCATTGATTTCAAGAAATGTGTAATTAATTATTGAAGTATTTTTGTGATAACTACTTTGAAATCTTTGATATACAATTCTAATATATTTGTGTCTATGTCGGCAACAATTGGTTGGCTTCTTTTTGTCATTCAAGTTTTGATTTTTTCTAGTTCTTGGTATGATGAGTGATTTTTGACTGCATACTGGGCATTTTAGATTGTATGTTAGGAGACTCTTAATCCTATTTAAATCTTCAATTTTAACAGGCAGTTGTCTTACTTAGGTTTAGTGTACAGGTACTGGTCTAGTTTTGTGGGGTGTAATTCCAATAACAATTTAGTTTTCTGAGCCCTCACAATGCTATTCTGAACTGCTTTGTTCTGATTCAGCTTAATGTCTCGCTATTCCCTGCTGGTACTGATGGCACAGGTGGAAGTTGCTTCCCTAAGCACCCAGATCTCTTACGTAGGAGATGCTGAATGTGCAGGATGGAGAATATTGCATGCAGAGCACTGGACTTCCTATTATGTCGCTGGCGTGGCACCAAAGGGAGCGAGGTGCCTACCTGAACTATCTTTAACCCACTGGATAGAGGACAAATTGATGCCTGACTTAGAACTACTTCTTCCATTATAGTGGAGGGCTAAGAGTATTGCTTTTTATTGTTGGGCAGAAGATGAAAAAACACCAGACCTGTTGGCACTTCCAGTGCAATTGGAAAAGCCCATCTGCTGCTAACAAATGTGGGACATGGTTTGGGTGGGAATGACAGGCACATTGGACTGCCTCGGCTGGAGGACCCAGGGAAGAATGTGAGCTGGCCCACCCAGATTCTGCTGCTGGTAGTATCACTGCCACTGAGCAGTCAGCTCCATTGTCGCAGGTGTGAAGCCAGGGACAGAGAGCAGATGTGGCTAATACAGCTACTAGACGTTGAATTTCCCATCAGATCTCTATCAGTTTACTCCTTTTTCTGTTTTATTGGCCAGAGAGACCAGAATGTACCTGCGTTTTCTTTGACTGCACTTTTGTTTTGTTTTGTTTTTCATAATAGGCATTTTCAGGTAGGAGTTTCATCTCTGTTTAATTGCAGGTATATTAATTAATGTAGATATTGTATTATCTAAATGTTTTTGCATTGAGTCATAAAATTAATATGTATTTTAAACATATCTATAAAAAATTAACATGTAGCAGAACTACATTCTGATATAGGAAACTGGCTTGAAATATGTTTTTCAGTTATTTTTAAATGTTTATTATTTAGCTTCAGAATATATTGGATATTTATAACTGGGTCGCCTTAGATTGCTTGTTTCTTGACATTCTCTATAATTTGTGGTATTTACTACAGAAAACATTGCATTTTTCAGTGCATTTTTATTTTCACTTTATTATCCCTGCTGTGGAAACTAATTTATCCTTGAGGATATGATCTGTCAAATTCTAGGTTCAATTTAAGATAAAATACTTATTTCTTTATTAATTTTGGTTTTAATAAGTTTCCTTAATTAAATTTTATAATGTATCTTCTTTTATTTCAATATTTCAGCAAAATGGTTCATATATTATAATAATTTTTGGCAAATTTATTTTTATTTTAGTTATACTAAAAACTAAAAGTTTTACATTGTGTAAGAAATCTTGGGTAAAATTTTATGTAGATCTATATACATGGAATTGCATGCACACACAGATACACATATACATGTACTGAGATTTAGTTACTTAAACAGTGGGAATTGATATAAGTAATATTTTTATACATTCAGATATTGTCTTACACTTAAAAATAGTCTTTATTATCGATATAGGAAACAGCTCCCACTATTACAAAATTACCAACTTGATAACTGGGTTAGTATCATATTTATCATAATAGTTCATGCAAGTGCTAGATTGTTATAAAAAGCAGGCGCCAAAGTACAACAGCTTTACTAAAACAGGTGACTTCTCTGTCATGGTACAATCTACTATATTGTCATTCTAAGGCCGATGACATTGTTCTTGGCTTCATTGTTTATCCTAGATTAGTTTTACATCCATGTTCAGCTTGTAGGTAGAGGAAAAGACAGGCAGGAATTCCAGGACAATACATTTTATAAAGTTGACCAAATGGAAGTTTTGGACTTCTTTTTCTATCTTTTTGGTGATAATCATATGGCCATGTCTAGCCACAGGGGGCCTGGAAGATTTTGTATATCACTGGGCATTCATATACAAAGGAAAATGAGTGAACAGATATGAGAGGCAACCTGGAACTTTCCATAACTTCCCAATATTTTACGCTAGATTTCTCTTCAATTAGCAGAAACTTGACTTTTCTGTATTATAAACATAAGGAGAAATGAGGAGTCTTTACATACAACTATCCTGCTATTAACCTGAACAAATGTTAAACTCCAGTTTGCCATACTTGATCTTATCTCTAAGGTCGAAGTTTATGGACTGTTTAAAAAAACACTTTTGTGAATGGTAAATAAATACAGATATAATTAAACATGTATTCTGTCTCTTGAATGTTTAAGAATCAGGAAAGCATAAATATTTTTATTAAGGATGTGGAGGCTATTTTTCACTTTTGGTGAGTTTTTCTAAATTTTTATTTTTGTTTAAATGAAAGTCTGGGTAATTCTAGTTTACAACTACATGACAAATCTTCCATCAGAAAACCAGTGAAAACACGGTAAGAGGCCCTGAACCTTGAGAGAGCCCCCAGGACTCCATAAACACGTGCAGAAGCATCTGGCTATCCTAACTGCCACCAACCAAATGCTAACTTTGCTACAATTGGAAACCAATTCGAAAATTCACATACAAATATGAAAGCCAAATATTCTGCTGAAACAAATGTTTTCAACTGAAACAAATGCTTGGGTTGTTTGCATGTGCCCAAACCAAATATTTTCTTGTAACAATAAATCTGTTTCCAAGTTATCTTACTCTGCATCATTTATTAACTAAGCAAGGCTTTATATTAAACAAAACTTGATACTATCCTATACTTTATTCTGCTTTATTTTGAAGAAAACATGAAATACCTACTGACCATGAAATGGTAGACTTTGTCTGAAGGGTCAATATCTGAGGAAAGAGCCTTCACATACAGTAATGCCCCCTGTGGGGAATGCTTAGAATAACCTCTAATTGTCTGCTTCGTTCTTAATACTTATTCAGTTTTCACCTCAATCATAACTTCTTCAGGGAATTCTTCTCTGTTTAAGTTAAATACCACAAACATTATATATTCATTATTGTAAGTCTTATTTAATATGTATATCTTCCACTGTGCTGTAAGCAAAATAAGAGTAGTGACTGTGTGTGACATATAAAAGGCAAGCAACAGTTATTGGGTAAATAAATGGAGATAATACTATGTGACTCCCAGGGTTGATTTGAGAATGCAGTGGG
Source organism: Homo sapiens (assembly GCF_000001405.40). NCBI lineage: Eukaryota > Metazoa > Chordata > Mammalia > Primates > Hominidae > Homo > Homo sapiens. The sequence goes on from NC_000006.12 coordinate 95,078,942, forward strand.
TTATTGCATGTAAAAATGCTTAGTGCCTGGCACATGGAAAGCAATTAATTTTTTCTGCCAATGAAATGTAAGCTCAATTGAGTCAACATTTTTTTTCCAACTAATATATTCATGAAACATAGAAGAATTTCTGATATATAAAACATTCTCAATACATAATGAATAAATGAAAATGAATGGAACCCCAAATGCAAGCTTATTTATAAAAAGACAGCTCAACTTTATTATTGGGCCTGAAGGAATGAGTAAATAAATTATATATATATATATATATATATATATATATATATACCCTTTATATATATATATATCCTTTATATATATATACCCTTTATATATATATATCCTTTATATATATATATATACCCTTTATATATATATATATATACCCTTTATATATATATACAGTGCGTGTGTGTGTCTGTGTGTGTGTGTATATATATATACATATATATGTATATATGTATATATATGTATAGATATATATGTGTATATATATACACACACACACATATATGTCTTTTAATTGTCTGACTGGTATAATGACTCCAGAGAGAGTGTGAAAGCAAAGCTGGGTACAGCTTGAGACTGGGCAAAAAATATTTCCGATTGGAAGCACTCTGAGTATTTCTAAAGCTTTTAGAGCCATGTGATAAGAGTCAGTCTTGAATCTATTCTACTATTTCCATACAGTTTAATTAAAATTGACTTATTTTGTATAATAATATCTGGAATACAGATTTTAAAATTATGGGCAAAGATTAAAATAATGTGACCAGAATCAATTATGAAAATCTCCAAGGCTGAAAAAGATTACTAGAACATACCAATTATTAGTTGATATGACTCATTAGTAGACATAAAAATGCTTGAAAACAACTTTTGGTATGAATGAGAACATGATACTTATAAACATATTGAATTATAACAGTGAAAATCACCAGCAGAAAAGACATTAAAAAATGGAAAGAAAAGATAAAGAAAAAAATGCAAAGAAAGCAAAGCAGGAGAGAGAGAGACAGACAGAGAAACAGACACAGAGAGAAAACAATATTATTGAAAACACTGCATAAAAGCTGTTTCTCTAACACATTATGAAAATGCATAGGACATTGTGCAGTAAGACCCAATGATAGCACTGATTCTGAGATCTGGCAAAACTTTGTCATGACCTATTACTGGATGAAATGTCAATGATGATCTATGTTTATATGAAAAGTTCAGTGCTACCTTTCTTTACCACAATAATGGATATTGGGGTCCTTGTCTGACAGCTTATTTCAGAACTGAGCCAGGAGGAGTGTATATACTTCCCTGATCACTGCTGAAGGAAAGCAAAGGCTCATGCTGAAAGCCACCATCTGCATGATACCAAACACCACAAAGTTGGCTATGCCTCCCTGCACAAATATGTTGATGCGTTTGTATGGCTTAAGTCATCGAGTTAGTTTCAAAAATGTTTGTAAAATTTGTTTGACTTTTAAAAATGTGAATTAAGACTCCAGTAAAAATTTGGAGCCAATTTGAGTAGACAGCTCTCAATTCCACTTTTAAAATATCAAGGGATATAGATTTTTAAAAAAATTGTTTTTATCTAAAGATCTTTAAGTATTTTTATTTCTTTATATCTTATTTTCCATAATAAACATGCCTACATGCTTTAAGTGAACATTAGTTTTATTGTAAATATTACTTCTTGCTATCTGTCTTTAAGAATGTTGGAAAACTAAATGTTTATGTAATATGTTTATATAGAGCACTTTTTAACATATTTGTATAAGCAACATATAAATTTTATCTGCATTCTGATTATTTAGTATAAAAAGTGCTGTTACTTTGCCAATATCATCGATGCAGGAGAATTTCTCAAAAACTCAGATTTCAATTTTTCATTGATAAAAGATCAAGTCACACTATTTAAAATATCATTTAATCAATTTTAAAAAGGTACTTGGAAATTCATTCATTCAAAACAGAATGGACAACAGCTGATACACATATATGTTTGATACAGTATAAAAGTAAAATATATAAAGTTATGGAAATAAAAATAAATGCTGGAAAATAATGTGAAATAAAAGATACGATTTCACATTACACAAAATAACTACTAAATTCTTATTTGGTGGCTTAAAGTTGGCCACAACATAGACTCTGTGAGGCCGTAAAGTCAGAAGAAATGAGGAAAAGAGTTAGACTAGGTTATATAGTTATCAGAAGTTGTTTCTAAGTCTACAATATTAATTCATGAGAAATTTATTCAACAGTTAATTATTCTTATCTGCTTTTTTTTAATAAGTGCTAAGAAAAATTTCTTTCATTGGTCCTAATGAGGGTTCGCTGAATGATGTAATAAATGCTGTCTTCAAGAACATCCTGACTATTAATACCATTAAGTATTACAGTGCAGCTTCCTCTTATGTTATCAGGAAAGTTCAATGTGACAGTTTCCATTCACATGTCAGTAAAGAAGCCTACAATGTATCCAAATCGTTGCCCAAGTACAAATGATCCAATCTGACAAATGTTTTGACAGCCTGAGTAAAATGTTTTCAGTAAAAAATAATGTATGACTCTTTGATAAGTCATTTTTTCTGTACTATACAAGACATTTATTAAATATTGAAATATTAAAAAGAATATTTACATTCACATATATTCATTGAACATATAGGTGAATAATACTAAGAATACTCATCACCAACCATCTGCTTTAAATAAAATATTTCTATTACATTGAAACCCTTTGCATAACTTTCTTCCACCTCATCCTGTTTTCCTTAGGGAGGCAACTTCTTTCTTGAATTTCCTTTTGTATTCTTGATTATATCTATTATTATACTAAAATTATTTTTACCCTTAATAAAACATTTTTAAATATTTTTAACTTTAATAATAAATTAAAGCAATCTTATGTTTCTCTGCAACATGCTTTTTGTGTCTTTGATGTTATTCCTGAGATTCAATCATGTTATTGTTTATAATTCTCATTTGTTCACTTTTACTTAAGTACAGAATTCCTTTATATATCATAATTTACTTATGTATGCTACCATTGAAGAACAACTGATTTCTTTTTTGGGGGGCTAAGACAAATAATACTGCCAAGGTCATACTGATACATGTCTCCAGGTGTACACCTTCCCCTAGGGTGAATATGAAAAATCAGATTTTTATGGGACATCGATTTGCTCAAAATTTGCTGATTTTACTAATTTAAACTCTTCAACAATATAACAATGTTCCAGTTTCTCCACAACTTCATCTTTACTTCCTATTGTCAATTTTTTTTTAATTTTCTGCAAAATTGTTGGTGAGAAGTTGTATCTTATTGGTCTTACATTTCATTCCCCTGCTTATTAAAAGTTTTAGAATATCAATGTGTTGTTGGATCACGTTTCATATATCTATTCAGGACTTTTGCCCCTTTCTCTTTGAATAATCATTTTTCTTTTATTCATCATTTTTTTGGTCAGCTACATATGTTGCAATTTATTTTCTGCTCTAACTTGTTTTATTTTGTACATGCTATTTTGAACAACTATAACTTTAAACATTAGTGATATCAAATTGATCTTTATTTTACTTTTGCTCATTGATTCTTAAAAAAATTAATGTCAACTGAGGTCATAAAGATATTCATCTGTATTGACTTCTAAAGGTTTTATTGTTTTTCCTTTAAAACTAAGGTTTTTAATCCACCTGGAATAATTTTTGTGCATAATACAAGATAGGGTTCCAACTTCACTTATAATCCATGTAGATAATAAATTATATCAGCATCATCCATTTAAAACTTCATCAATTTACATAGAACCACAAAGCCCAATTTGTGATATATCAAAAATCTGCATAATGTGGATTGTTTCTGGACTTTTTTTTCTACTACTTGATGTTTTCTTAGTTCCTAGACTAATACTATTGTCTTATTTATCAAAAGACTATAATAATTTATAATATTTGATGATGCAATTCCCTTTTCCTGTTCTTCACAGGAATGTCTTAGAAAATTCTGGCACTTTCTCTTTACTATAAATTTTAGAATCTTCTTGATATGATACACAAAATAAACTGTAGGGATTTTGATGTTAAGTGTATTAAATCTATAAATTAGTTTGGGGAGCATTGACATTTACAGGTTATAGACTCTTCCTATATAAGAACCTGACATATGTGTCCATTTATTTAGGTCTTACTTAATGCTTCCAACAAAACATTTTTACTTTCTTCAGAAAAAGCATGCTAGTAATATTCAAGTTACTTTGTTTCTGAGGTAGCTACAAGTAACATAAGTTGAAAATTATATTGTCCCAGAGTTATTTTAGTTTTTGCTCCTGTAGATAAATGCAACTGAGATTTATGTTAAGATTTTTAATACAATCAACTCAGTAACATTTTTTATTAGAAATCAGTTTATTTCTATATTTTTGTTTTTTACATATAGATAATTATGTCATCTGTGAATAATTGATGATGGCAGTGGCCCATCTGGAGAAGCCACTGCAGGACGCCAGCTGCAGCGGGGGAGGCATGGCCAGGGCTGTGTCTTCCATGGAGCCAGCGGGAGCCAGAAACAGGTGGGAGCCCTGCCCCCTACCAAGTTGGCCGAATGGAAGCCCAAGGCTCCTGGGCAAAGCTGCAGCTACCCAGCTGTGGCTTCAGACCCGGGCATCCCTGTGCTCCCGGGGTCCCGAGAAGCCCTTGGCCCCTAGAGTCTCAAAAGTACCTGCTCTTACTCCCTGGCCTCTCCCCACTCCGAGTGCTCACCCCAGTGCAGAGCGAAGTGGTGGCGGCGGAGCCCAGGTGCTGCTGTGTGACCTGGCCAGGTGTGTGTGTGCACTCCGGGGCAGGCTGCCATGCAAACCCCCTGTCACCTTGACCCTCTCTGGACTTTGAGCTCTGACGAGTGCGGGGGGAGGGGAGGAGGGTTGAGGGCAGCTCCGCAAGAGCCAGCAGGCACCCCTTGGCATGAACAGCCTGAGCACCATGGACAGTATGTTGATGACAGGAGGCAGACAGGTTCCTAGGCAGAAAGGAATGGTACCCAGTAAAATCCCCACCTTCAAGCCAGCAACAGTCTGAAGCCTGGGGTTGAACTGCCAGTTCTGGGTGGAGTCCACCGCCTGGAGTGAGAAGTTATGGTGCTTCTTCCAGCTACCCATGGCCACCTATGGACCAATCATCACGTACTTCCTCCCTTCTGAGTCCATAAAAATCCCAGGACTCAGCCAGACTCAGACACACGTCCGGAATACATGGATGCAGAAAGGAACTACCCACTTTGGGTCTCCTGAGAGCTGTTATGTAGCTCAATGAAGCTCCTCTCTCCCTTGCTCATTCTGCATACCTCATTCCCCCCTGATGCGGGACAAGAACTCGGGACCCACCGAATGGTGGGACTGAAAGAGCTGTAACACAGGCCAGGCGCGGTGGCTCATGCCTGTAATCCAAGCACTTTGGGAGGCCGAGGTGGGTGGATCACGAGGTCAGGAGATCGAGACCATTCTGGCTAACAAGGTGAAACCCCATCTGTACTAAAAATACCAAAAAAAAAAAAAAAGGCCGAGCGTGGTGGCAGGTTCCTGTAAGCCCAGCTACTCGGGAGGCTGAGGCGGGAGAATCGCTTGAACCCGGGAGGCAGAGGTTGCAGTGAGCCGAGATAGCGCCACTGCACTCCAGCCTGGGCGACAGAGACAGACTCTGTCTCCAAAAACAAAAACAAAACAAAAAAAAAAAAGAGCTGTAACACAAATAGGTCTGAAACACTACACCCTGCCCCCAACCATTTGCCACCTTACGGTGACGAGAAGGAGAGAATAGCTACGGCCCTCCTGGGAGCCCAGACCTTGGGGCTTCCTGAGCCAGGGCTGTGACACGCTGTAACACCCGCTTAGGTGCTCTGCAGTTCCTGGCATCTCTGACCTTTCAGGTGCCATCACGTTCCCCTTGTCCAGATGAGGGTGCCTGCAGCGGAAGCAGCTTGTTGTACCTCTGGTCCAGCCACAGCTTCACACAGAGCCAGCGCCTGTGCTGGCGCCTGGAGCTGCCGGGCCCACCACAGCCCAACACAGCTCGCCACACCAGAGCCGGTGCGGCGTGCCTGGCTGGGCACAGTGGCAGGGCAGGACCCCACGCTCGTTCACTTGCTCATACACCCGTTGCCGCTCTGGGTCTGGCTTGCCCTTGGCGGGCGTGGGATCCGGGCCCTTCACGCAAACTGAGCTCAGCCTACTGGGCCAAAGGGGCTGAAGGAGCCCAGGGGGTGCAAACAAAACCCGATCAGAGGCAATGCCAGCCACAGAGGTTTCCGGCTAGGGAAGTGACACGCTAAGGATCCTGTAGCTTCGTATCTTCAAACCTTTGGTATATAAAGCAACTGGCGAAACAAATCTGAAGACTTGTGTCTCACTCAGAGCTTTTGAACTTGCTACTACGCCAAACCAATGTTCTTTAAAAAATAATAATGTAAAATACTCAAGGCCTGGCATGGTAGGTTACACCTGTAATCCCAGCACTTTGGAAGACCAAGGCGGGCAGATCGCTTGAGGCCACGAGTTAGAGACCAGCTGTGCCAACCAAAAAAATTAGCCAGGAGTGGTGGTGTGAGCCTGTAATCCCAGCTACTCCGGAGGCTGAGGCATGAAAATCTTTTGAACCCGGAGGCAGAGGCTGCAGCGAGCCAAGATCATGTCACTGCACTCCAGCCTGGGTGACAGAATGAGACTCTGTACAATATATATATATATATGTTTGTATACCTATATGCAAAACATATATATATATATGTATACACACATACACACACACACCCAGACTTGTTCTAATAGTCTATATCCACAACCAGATTTTTAAAAATCACAAAACTAACATTCTGGAAAATCATATTGTGTCACCAATGGTGAGACCCCTAAAGCTAAATGTAAATTAACTATATTTACCATGATTTGTTTTACAATGTAATGATTCAATTGGAATACTTGTATGTTCACTATCTTATGTCATATTTTATTATTTTCTTTGGCTGCTTCAAAAACTGCTAATTTTAATACAAGTTCCAAGTTTAGGAAAAAAACATACTTTCACAATGCTTTATATTTTTCAGAGAATATTTGCATTCATTACATCAACTGCAATTCATAGGGATTCTGTGAGCTGAGATGTCATTACATTACTTCTCAGGTGAATAATTTAGTGGACTTATTAAAAATTAGAAAAAATTAGAAACCAGGCATGGTGGCTCATGCCTGTAATCCCAGCACTTTGGGAGGCTGAGGCGGGTGGTTCACCTGAGGTCAGGAGTTCGAGACTAGCCTGGCCAACATGATGAAACCCCATCTATACTAAAAATACAAAAATTAGCTGGGTGTGATGGCATGCCCCTGTAATCCCAGCTACTGGGGAGGCTGAGGCAGGAGAATGGCTTGAACCAGGGAGGCGGAGGTGGCAGTGAGCGGAGATCGTGCCATTGCATTCCAGCCTGGACAACAAAAGCAGAACTCCCTCTCAAAAACAAAAAAAGAAAGAAGAAAGAAAGAAAGAGAGAGAGAGAAAGAAAGAAAGAGAGAGAGAAAGGAAGGAAGGAAGAAAGGATGTTAGAAGCCTATATCATATTTATTCCATGATTTATTTCATGTTAGACACTTGCAATATCACAGCATGATTAAATTATGACTCCAAAAATAAAAAAATAAAAATGTTATTAAGAAAACACCAACAGCAGGAGAAACATTGTTTGTTACTCATTATTTCCTATCTCACATTCTTTATGAATAATTTCAAAAATGTTAAATGTTAAATGTTATAAAATAAATTGGGTTTATTAAATGATTTGTTAAATAAAACAAATTTCTCCACTAAATATATATAAGGGCCATATAAAAGTTTATTATACACATATGTATATATATATATATATAAATAAACACACACATATATATAGAGAGAGAGGTTATACTGATTGAGACTAAATAGATAAGCTATTGATAAGCTGATTGATAAGCTAGAAAGACATAGTTTTGTTAATCTGATAGCTAGTTTTTGTTGGTCTAATTCCTCATAGATATATAAATGTAACTATTTTAACAGTGTATAATAGGGGACAAGCTCAAGTTATGTATCAAGTTTTGATTTATTCATATTTTCCTATCTAATCCTTGTGAAAAATAGTGATATTGATGTCACAGGCCATAGTTACAAAACATGCAACTAAATGAATCACAGATAAATTCATCTCATTACCTTAGCTTACTAAAAATATTTATTTTTATGTTCTTACTAAACTAACTCCTATGGTTCACTTTTTGCCTTTTATAGGATTATCCATCCACTGCATATAATATTTTCCCTTGCAATAGCCTTTGTGTGTGCTGTTGAAAATCAATAACCTTGAATGCTGTGTGTGGTGGCAAGTCTACCAACTCTGTCAGACAAGGAGAGAGAGGACAATTAAGATATTGCATTTAGGCATGTGTATTAACTCACCATCTCACATGGAAAAGGTAATGCGTGTAACCCTCACAATAGTGGAGTATAGGGAGCTTTTAAATAGGGAGTTTAATCTCCTTTAGAGCAAAGCCACACTCTCTGTTGCCCTAGGTTTTTGGCAAGATTCCCAGAAGCTGCAGTCATTCATGAGCCACACACTCTGTTCTTTGGAAAATTGCAATGAGATCCTCACACAGTGCAACCAATGCTCTCGTTTTGGACGCCTCATCTGTAAAACATCCCCTCACACATGTGTATACACGTGCGTGGTACTTAACTCAGCCACCACCGAAGAATGGAGCACTGCAGGGATTTGAACCTGTAGTTGCAGGAAGTCCAAGTATTTCAAACCTTATGTGTCGACTATAAAACCATTCCCTCTGGCTGATTATTCTGGAATTAAAATGTAGTTCATGTTAAGCAAGCTTGGAAAATTCCCAAATCAAATAAGCTTGTTTAGAAGGGTTGTTCTCTCTTTAGAAATGCTGAAGCCACAGCTTTATTCCACCTTGGTTCCCTTTGACTTTTGTAATGTACTCTTACGTTCTCATTCACACTAAACTCTGTGAAATTTGAATAAGATTTCTCTACAAATGAGATATGCTGAGTGTAACTATAAAATGTAATACAGTACACAATATGTGTTTACTTATTTAAATTCTGGAGCTATGAAAAATTAGTAGTATATTTTATTTTGAAGGCAAGGGGAAATCTCTTTCACTACTATTGTTTGTTTAACAGAATAGAGTGTGAGATTGTATCTTGACTGGGTAAACTAAAATGGCTAATTAGATCAATATGTATAAATCTTAAATGTTTCCTATGCAATATTTTATAGGTATGTATATTTGATGTTCATACTAATTGAGGTTGTCAATTTCAATAAATACACTTGTCTTATATTTCATTTACTTTATTTTGAAATATCGAATTTTGTTAAAGTTCTTGTTTAAAAATGAAGAGATTGAAAATCTAGTAGGTCAGCTTTTGGATATATGCACTTTCTGAAGTTTACACACATCTAAGATACATATGTTATATTTAAACATATAACTTAAATTACACACACACATATCATTAAACAGAAAAGGCAAAACAGCATATAATATCTGTTACCACTGCCAATAGCAAAAGCATAAGACAATGTCTATTCTATCTCTTCATAACATAAAATTTTGCTCTAATTTAACTGGAAATAAACAGTTTCACATTAAGCTTTGGCAAATAATATTTATAGCAATTAAGCTATTTCAGTTACTGAAGTTGTATAATCCTTAGCATTAACTGGCAATCAAGAAAGGAACCTCCAGAGCTTCAGGTTTGCAGACAGTGCAGTTAGATACCTTAAGACATGCTTTCTTTGCATGTACACTAGTTGTTTTGTTCACCTCATACACATACCTATAGCTTTTTTGTTGTTGTTACAGAGACATTTTCTTTGATATTATCATGTTATATTTCCTCAGAGCATTTTCTACCCCAGGGCTGAATGTGCTTTTGCAAAACTGATTTCATTAATTCTTCTAATACTTCTGTGATTTTAAAAAAGAAACGAGAGTGGCAGAGAGAGGGCAGGTGGTGTTTTTTTTTATTTTTATAGAGAAACTGAGACACTCAGAAGTTTATGTAGTTTCCTAGGCAATAATACATTTAAGTCAAGAAAACAAAATATAAGTAAAATATAAGCAAAAAATTAGCAAGCCCTCATAGCTCGTTTTTATTTTTTATTTTACCTTTATTTTCTTTGCACAGAAACATATAACCTGGCTTTATTTGTATTTTATATAGTTAAATTGAAGATGGCTTGCTCTCTCCAGGATTAGCACATTGTTTAGAAACTGGACACTTCCAAACAACAAAAACCAGAGTCAAAACCCATGTGGCCTTACTCAATTGTCCCCAGCAATTTCAATTTGGTATCTTCTGCAGATTTCATGATTGGCTATGAGGCAATGCATTAGAACACATGTAGAGAGACAATGGGGAGTTCCTTTTAAGACAACTCAACTTTGACATAAATGCAAAAAATGAAATACTTCATAGAAATTAAAATATATATCCTATAAATAGTTATACCAATATATGTATGTGTATATATTTGCTTCATTGATATTTACAACTAAGAAGGAAGAATAAAAATTAGTTAACCGGAAAATACAGGATGCAGAGTATGTGCCAAAACATGCTTCCATAGACAGATGAAAATTTGAGCATCATTTAAGATCCTACACATAATATAAGACACAATAACCTGGAAAAATCTGTTTGCATTTTAGTGAAAAATAAGGCTAAGAAGAAACAATCATCATTTGATAACAATCTTTTACTTTCTACTTATTCTATTAAAGTATATAAATTATAATTGAAATATTTTCTGTAGCCAATATGTCATCAGGGTCATAAAAACAAGAAAATTAAATTAGATCTGTTTTTGAATTGATATTTTCTTTTTAACTTGTCTCGTTGTTACATTTTTTTCTGAAATGAATTTATCAATCTTTTGAAGCTCTCAAGCCATATAAAATGAGGTGTTATTAATGGGATGTATTTGGTTGCCTAAACTGATTTAATATGCATTTTTATATCTTGTGTATGAATGAAAATATTTACTTTAAAATATATTGAAGAGTCATAGTATTATTTTTACTGTTAAAAATGATGCTACGTAATTCAGCTTCCTTAAGGGGAATACTGAAGACATTTAAACCTGTTTAGAACTTTCTTCTGAAATTGCACATTTTATTTATATTACAAAGAACATTTTTTCTTGTTCATCACTTGGAAGACATATTATTGCAAGTTAATAGGATAGTAGACATAGTTAATAGTTACTGTATTATTTAAAATTTCACAATTTCCATAAAAACCACTTTTTATATTTTTTCCTTTGGCATTTTTACTCAGATTAAAATGTATATTTAATTTGAGAAAAAACACTAACATTGGAATAAAATTCAACATTTGTGCAAATCAAGTAATTTTGCAAATTTAGTGTAAACTTGACAAAAGGATAACTGTGAGATGAGACTGAAAGAGGAAAATTGTGGTTAAAGGATCAACTGGAAGAAACCTGCTGTAAGAGATTATATTTATGAACAATTTCTTAAAGACAACATTATTAGAAACTAAGTTTGTAATAAATTCTGTATGAAACAAATGTAAATAAAGTAAAACATATTATTATAAAAGTAAGCCCTCGATGAAAATTGGTTGTTAAAGAGCCTATTGGCATTATAGAGAAAATAAGCCTGAAAGAACAGCTCCAGTTGTCATATCTGTTCAGATATTTTGCAAAGTTTTGACATTGAAAAATTCACATTTAAAAAATAGAGGTGAACCCGAGCACACAGAAAATAATTTCATAGAGATTTCAATTTGTTACACAGTATGACCGTGCATTTGAAAGACTGTGTTTTTTTTATTTTTGACGTATGTAAGAGAAACAGATATCTAATATTTTTTATGTCAACTAGCGTTGTACAAAGAAGATAATCAGTTTCATGTTCCTCTCACATGTGTGGCAGGCCTCACTGAAGACAACTGGAGCTAGAATCAGAGAGATTTCCAGCAATTCTTGAAACAAAGCAAAGTAAGAAAGCTCAAAGCTTTTGCAGAAATTGTGACATTTGACTCAAGTTAATGACCCCACTCCCTATGTAGCTATAAATGATAACAACAATAACAAAAAGAGCGTAGCTGTTACAGTGACATGCTTTTTCTTGAGAAAAATATTGCAATTTAAAATAAACTTTTATTTCAGAGTTCATCCACCACCCTACCCCCAGCCTTCACACACACACACACACACACACACACACACACACACACACACGCACACACAAATGTAAGCTTCAGAGATATTCACTCAAACTGAAAGAGCCATCCATGAATTTTGGTCGTCTTTGTGTTATATCCTAAGATAGTTTTTACCTTTCTTCCTGTGTGATATAGATGCAGGTTAACAACAAAAACAATGAAAAAATTTAAAAATCAACAGCTTGAAGAGTGCTAATTAGAACCAATTATAATTTCATTGTCCTGCCATGGTTCACTATGTCCTGGTTAAAAAAATAGTAATAATTTTGATTTCTGTACATGTCTGGCTTTATGCACATGGCTGATTGGAGAAGTTTAATATTCAACACATGTGCGTAAAGTAATCCTTTAGACTAGCAGTCTAAAGGTAGCAATAACCTATACAATTCCTTGTGTTAATTTCTAATTAATGTGATTAAATAAATACCATCAGACTTCAAAAGGACCACTTACTTTATGGAACCAGTGTTTATTTAACTGGTATGTGAAATTGGTTTTCATGTCAATAAAGATATTAAAGTTTCTATATTGTGTATTCATCATGAAATCATAGAAATGACTATACTAACAACAAAGAAGAAAGTTCCCTCAAATCAATTTGGTTCTTGAGGAAAGCAATTCAATCTTAATGTAACCTACACTAGTTAACAAAAGATATTTCATGAGCTTTGGTTAGAAATGTAATACAGTAACCTAGAATTACCTTACATCTAAGTTTAGCAACTACCATTTTCAAACTGTCTGTACCTAGCTTAAAAAGTTGTCTACTCCCATCTAGCGGTCATAATGTTAAATTTCCTTTCAAAACTTAGCAGCCTGAATGGTCTGCATTAAGGCAAATGGAACTGCTGTTTTATTGTCAGAATTAAATAATTAATGCAGTTAACAACATCTGCATAGATTAAGTAATTCAGCCTCATGGGTTTTGTTGATAGCAGTAATTTTAAAGGCAGCATAAAATGGTTTTAGTCTGATTTATGGAGCGTAGCTCATGCTGCCAGAGCCGCATGGAGTTCATTGACTGAAAAACTCCGAGGATCACTCAGGAGGATTGCCGTAGTTCTATAGTCAACAATCTCTTATGAATATTTTATAAAAATGTCTATGTATAAAGAAAAGGAAAGTTCAAGCAATGAGGTCCTCTGTGTACAACTGAACTCCAGAATATAAAAATAGATGATTGATCTCTTCAAACCCTTGTTAAAGAAAAATTAAGACTGTCAGTTTTTAAAATAAAATATGCTTTAACATTTTTATCATGTAATCTTTATTTTTAGTACCAAAATGCAGACTAGAAGAGCATTTGTTGTGTTAATGATACCTGATTTTCAAAAACAAACAAAAAAACCTGAAAAGAAAACAAATTCCATTTCATATTTCAGCAAAAGGAAGTGGTTTTGTTTTGTTTTGATTTTAAATCGTCCTAATATAGCAGCACGTGACTTGGTGTGGGTATAATGTCATACATTTACATATGTTGGATTAATTGGAACCTTGTACAATGGTGAAATGCAGCTCCATGTCAACAAATATAATTAAATCCTCGTAGTATCTATGCAGTTGGAAATAACTACTCGCTCTTTTCCAGTGAGTAGAAATGTGAGCTAATTATCCAGCAGAGCATATCTACTTATTTTACTCACTAAAATACATTGAGCATCTCCATACAAATACCATACTGGTGTTCAGCAAAAATCTAGGGTTTATGTCGCTATTGAACAGACAAGAGAAGCATACATCATAACTCCAAACAAAGGAATGGTCTAGTCATAACATAGTGTCGGGGTTCTAATGGAAGTAGGAAACCACAGTGGTTGGGAAAGCTCCTGGGGGTGATAGGGTTTGATCTAAAGATTGAATAATGAGTGTGATTTGTGTTAGAAGCAAGAAGATAATGGCTTCAACAGAAACAAAGATGCTAAGTTAAGAGCAAATTAGATATGTTTGAGGGAAAGCTAGCAGATTATTCTCTCAAGAATAGAGAAGACTCATGCCAGGAAACAGTGGGAGATAGTTAGAAAAGTAGTTTGGACCAGACTAGAAAGCATCCTGAATGCCTCGACATGCAGGAAAGCTGAGTAAGCTGAGGTTGGACAGATGAGTTTTCACTGCAGGTATAAAATAAATATGGGAAAATGTAACACGCGAATTCCTGCAAGATGACTACAAAGAAAAAAATTATTAGAAGCTTGTTCACTTACATAAAAACCATGAGAGTTGTGCAGTGGTTAGTTGATCAGGATAAATTGAAAAGTTGTACTATGGAACATACTTACTGATTCATGCGTATAAGCATCAACACTTTTAGCATCTACTATGTGCTAGGGACAGGTATGAGTATTTAGGGTTTACATTTAAATGCTATTTAAAATGTTAGAAACATAATATGTATTAGTGGCAGCATAAAGAATATATATTTTTCATCACTGTAAAACACAATGTAGAATCAATACTCAACTATACTTAAAGTTAATGTAGATAACGGGTTGATGGGTGCAGCAAAGCACCGTGGCACGTGTATACCTATGTAACAAACCTGCACGTTCTGCACACGTATCCCAGAACTTAAAGTATAATAATAAAACAACTTGGATTAAAAATTGAAAAAAAAGAGGTTTAGGGTTAATTACAAAGCCTAATTCAGATATTTTATGTATAATTTATTTTAAAAAAATTTTTTAATCTATTTTGAGTTTTTACTTGTTCAATAGAACTGCCATTAAAAAGCTAGAACAATTGTGATGAACTGAAATGGTATGAAAAACAATGAGTGTAAGTCATTTTAAATTAAACTAAATTATCTTAAAACTTTGGCAACTAATATCAACCAGTGACTTCTAGTAAGACAGGGAACAATAAATAATAAATCACTTTTTTTTAAAAAGTGCATATCAATTTATTACTCTGTTTCAGACTGTCCCTCCACTGACGTACATGTGAAAGAATAAGTGTGATTTGTGTGTGAGATACATATACATGTGCATATATTTATATATCTCACTTGCAAATAGATAAATGATAGGTGTAAAAGATAAAAATCACTAAACTATAAGTAAACATATCAAATATAAGTATAATATAATTTTTAACTTATATTCTTTAGAAACCAGAACTGAGTATTTCAATTCCCAGTGTCTAAAATATGACAGTATGGAATTTTATCCTTTGAGTAGATTTTAAAATTGATTCATATTTGTAGTGAAAAATATTTCTTTGTAATTATTTAGGCAAATACAAATTTAAAAAAATAAACTTCCCTGTTATATTTAATGATACTATTTCAGATAAAGTTAAAATGGCAAATATTCCAATCGTACATGTGTGTGTTAATCATTGCATTTCACAAGT
This sequence comes from Homo sapiens, assembly GCF_000001405.40. Lineage (NCBI taxonomy): Eukaryota > Metazoa > Chordata > Mammalia > Primates > Hominidae > Homo > Homo sapiens. The sequence continues at coordinate 95,094,590 of NC_000006.12, forward strand.
CTAGTTTTACATTCTAAAATAATTCACATTCTAGAAAGATATTAGAATTTTTAAAAATTTAGCACTTGAAACAAACGCCTTTCACAAACACATTTTGTAAAATAAAATATTAAATGAATTTAACCAGGGTAATATTTTAAATTTTTTTGGCTGAAGGATTTTAGTAAGCTCCCATGAGGCATGTTTTCTTTTGCTGATGGGCTGAAAGATAGGATGATTCAATGACTTTGATGTGCTTTTATCAAGGTACATCAAGACTAAAATCAACACCATCAAACAAAACTATTTTTTTATTTTGTTTTCTTAGGATAAAAGAAAGCATATGCCTTTGGATTAAGAAAAAAACAAAGCAAAACCAAAACAATAAAGTTTGCCTGCGATAGGCAGGTGAGTCAGAGGAGTGAAGTTCTGCTTAGTGAATCATTCCAAGAGGTATTTTGTTTAGCTGTTTCAAGACTCATGCCTCCACCCTCCCCCAACCATTTTTTTTTTTTAATATTGTAGTAAAGAACAAAGGCGATCAACAGGAAAAGCAATATAGTAATTAAGTAGTAATTGGTAGAAGAGGCTTTGGGGTTAAAATTAATAAAACCAGCATGATGTACATTAAGACTGTATAAATATTTAAGGAACTACAGCCTGCTTGGAGATTTAAACCGATTAGCAAAACATTTGAATCTGGAGATTCAAATGTTTCAGGTAGATAAAATAAACAGAGACTGCTTGTTGGAAATATGATCAGTTTTCGTCCTGGGAGTGCTGTATTTTTTTTATTTTAATCATCAAAATAAAACACTTTTGATGTTTTGTGTAAAAGGTTTTATATTGCATCTAACGCAATGCAGGAAATGGAATCACAAATGAAATCATTGCAGATGTTTTTCTTTTCTTGTCAGATCATGTATTATAGATGGAATTCTGGCCTTTCACATTGAAATTAAAGGGAAAGTATAACACAAGAAACTGAAAACTCATCCTTCAGGATTTTCTTTGCTGGTAATATTGATACATAAAAATTTATCTACGGGCAGGAAATCATTTAAAGGTAAAATAGTTATTCTTCATTTCCAGCAATCCAAATGATATAGTCAATGTAATTGAAAATAATTAATAGAGGCATTATAACTTCTCTTTAATCCATTTCCTTTCTCTTACAAAATCTACTACAGGAATTTGATATAAATTTCAGGATTTAATATTTAACATCTAGATGAAATTTTTAAAAACAGAACTATTAATTGAATGTTGGCAAATATATGCATGCTTATATTTAATTAGACAAAATGTCTAATAATTTAAAGGTATTTTATAATTTTTACCTGAACCCTTTTGTAGCACACAGCATTAAACTTGACAATGTTTAGAATTAATACTAGGTTCTGAGTTATATTCACACAAGATCAAAATACCCACATGAATAGGGACACTTTCGTAATCATTTGGGCAAAACTAAATGTTCAATATAAACACATTCTGTTGATTCAACAAATTAATCATTAACTCACAAAATTAGTTAGCATCAGGTGTACTGTGAATTATGAGATACCTACCTTACATCAGAATTCCTCAGCAAAGATCTATATATTTAGTATCTTTATACTCAGTTCCCGTGAAAACATTAATTTTTGCTAGTAGAATGCATCTGTAGAGAATACACACCCATACCAAGGCCAGTACATTTAGGTTCCTATTTGCAATTTTAAATTTGTATTTGTAGAAATGCCAAATAAATGTTTTGAACAAGAAAAGAGTGATAGAATAGCCAATAATTGTCAGTGAATACATCAAAGCTTTTCTTTCTATTGACAGAGCACTGGGGAGAAATGCTTATAAAAGGGGGTTGTAGTCAGAAGACTTTCTCTCTAATAGATATTAGGCACTATGTGGGTCAGGAAACAAGCTAAGACAACGATCCATCAAGAATACCTTGTCCTAAATATGTCAAATATTTAAGTTTTCTTTTTCTTGTTTATGTTTTCTACATCTTCTCCCTGGCCTATTTTTCTTACTTAAAAATACAACAAAACAAACTATCATTCCATAGCATTGATTTTTAGCTCTTGGCCATACCCAATCTTAGACTATTTTCTCAATATTATCTTTTTTGGAATACTACATTCAAAATTCTTGTTGTTAATACAAATAGGGAATTTTGATGTTCTTTTTAAAACAAGCCATTTTGTTTATTTTAAAGGAGAAATGTATACAGTTATTAAAGCATTTTAGCTTTTCTAAATTCTGCTTCAAAGTATTGTATCATGTATATCATGACAAACATGTAGATGGAAGAATATAGTACTTTTGTTTACATGCTGGTTGAAAGAGGCATCAAGTTAAGAGTAATCATTTGCATTTTCCTTTTACACTTTTGCTTGTAAGTGTAGCAATATATCTTTGCTGATTATAAAGGCATTTGCTGACCTACCCACCACTTTGCCTAGCACAAAAAAATTCAATATTCATTAATCATACAAACATGAGCTTATATTAAATGTGCAATAGATGTTAAGATAATCTATGTTAATTCACTCTCCATTTAGGAAAACAAAATTTTACCTATCAATATCTAGTAAATAATAGGGTAATAATTAATTCTATATTTTACACAAAAGGCAAATTCAGTAACTCTTGATCATTCCTAGCATCACAAAATAAAATGTGTCCCATCAAGTAGTGTGTAGTAGATGACGGATTTTTCGTTAGTTATAGTAACGTATAAAACCCTTCTGTATGTTGCAGTTCTCTCCCATGTAACTCATTAAAAGCAGTGTCAGTTAAAGGCTCTTGCACATCTGACAGCAGTAGGAAATACCTCCGTAACTTCCCCACTGACACTTACCTGTTCTCTCTGTTGATTTATACCAACTGAATTTTCTCATGCCAGATACTTAAAAATTCCAAAACATATAAATGATGGAATCATAAGGTTTGATAGATAGGGCTAACACATCATTTGGACCAGCCTTTTATCTCTGATGCAAAGAAGGTCAGATGATTATCTAGCTAATTTATTTCAAAATTGTATTTATGTGAAGTGCATAATTTATTTCTTATTGTTTAATATTTGAAATAATTATTACCCTTCTGCTGGGAAAAAATATATTAAAATATAATTCAGTTACCATAGGAAAACAACTGGAAGTTGAGTATATTGTCTACCATCATCAGATCTTGCACTGCAGCAAAATTATCCCTGCTGTAATGATAGAAAATTGCATGGATATTTACTGAGCATTCACTATGTGACAATCCCCAAAATAAAAGTTATTCTTCTAAACCAATATGTTCTGAGTTTAGACAGGTAATAAAAATATAAAATTTCATAGATCTATCATTTTAGTTGCTTTGTTTTAATGCCTCAAATTAAGAGTCACAAAAGGCACTTCCATTTTGTGGTTTGCTAAAATTAACATATCATAGAAAATGTTTAAATATGTGTGCTAATAACATAGCACTAATTAGTGTCTCTCTTGTTAAGAATTTCTTATTTAGTTGTTACTGGAATCACAACAACTTCATGGATATTTTAATATTAAAAATGTTATAATTGTCTACCCCTTAAAGTTTTTACTGAGACCATGTAAGCCCTGAAAAATTCCAAGAAAAATAAGCATATATAGAAAATAGTCTTTGCAGCCATCTCCAGGAGTAGAGAACAGAAGAATTGCTAAAGGAGAGTGAGACTTTCCAAGATGAGGACCTCACCTGCGAACAGCTGAGCCAAGATTGCAGATAAAAAAGACCCCACAGATTTTTCTTCAACATAAAATGCATTTAAAGCAGAAAACTGCAATGACCACAAATGGGACAGCCACCAAACAAAAATAGGAGGTGAAACCTGAGATTATAAAGAATATTAACGTAATTTTTAATAGTTAAAAATTAAATTATTTCATTACTTAATATTTTATAACATAGGCCTACTAATACTATGTAAAGTTGATAAATAAGAAAATTTATTTTAAAAAATATAATATAAAGTCAATAAGCTAAACAAAAAACATCTAAAATTAAATCTCCATTTGATTCAAGCATCAGACTACACAATGTGAGCTACAAGATCTGGTATTAGGTAAGAGTGGCCTTTGTTTCTCTTGACAAGAACAAAGTAATAAAACACAATGTTTTAGATATTTTTGACACATTTGAGAGAATTATCTACCAGATAGAATATGAATAGAGATGACTGAAGGGATAAAGGATTACAGAATTCAGGTCAAGTTGGGAATGACTGAGAAAATTCAAGAAACATGGAAATTATTTTGTCAGACATTTCTTCTTTCATTATACATGAGAAAAGTAAAATCTGAAGCCATTTTTAGAAATAAAGTTTCTTTATATTACCTTGTTCAGTTGAAAAAGAAATATGGCAAATGTACACATAGGGGTGTGTGTGTGTGTGTGTGTGTGTGTGTGTGTGTGTATATGTGTTGGTCATGGTGTGAAGATGTGCAGCCGCTCCCAGTCATATGTGGTGTATGGTAATGATGAGGAGGCAGGAGTTGTTCTTCAGCACCCTTGAGGGCATTGGCAAAAGGAAAATAATAAGCCCCTGAGAGTCCATATCCCTTTAGCAGTATATGAATTTAATATAATGGAAAAAGAAGTTAAAGTCAGAGATGGAAACAGGTAACGCTATGCAAAGATGGAACGAAACATAAAAATCTGCTTCTCTAGTAGTAAATTTGATAATATAAACAATCATATTTTGTCTACAAATTATTAAGCATAGAATATATAATGATAATTATAACAGTCACTGGTTCAGCCACCATCTTCCTATGTTATATTTGGTATTATGAATGAATGAAATTGGCAATATGATTTAACAGTTGTGCCTTCAATGTCATGCTATTTAAAAATAGTGGTCAGAAAACATTTCTATCATATTTTTCACTGACATACCAGTAGTGGTATCAGATTATGCAAGCAAGTAGATGTTACATGAAACCAGATATTACCTCTTAATAAGCATGGGCAGGTTTCTGAGTTCTGTGTTTCAGTTTCCTCAGCTGTAAACTTGACAATTCTAACATTATTTCCTCATGTACATCAGTTGAGATAATATACTGAAACTGTCTGGTACCATCAAGGGAATATAGTGAGCGAGTCATAAGTAGCAGTGGAAAAAAAGAAGAAGAATAGAGTAAGAAAAAGAAGATTGGAATGCCAGTGTTAAGAATACACACACACATAACACAATTTTAGGTTTCTATTTATTTTCTGAAGTCATTTTTAGACCAAAGACTCTTTGAACCATTTTATTTTTGTGTAATCAGAACAAACTACTAGTACAAGGCCTGTCTCTCCTCTGAAAGGGACATAATTATAGTACTTAACTCTTAGACTGGTGAAGATTGGCTTACTAAGCATATGGAAAGTGCTTAGAGCAGGTCCTGGAATAAATGTTTCATAAATGTTAGTTATTGCTACCTTTTGTAATATTTTCAACCCCATAAAAACATTCAAGTTAGAGACACAAACTTCTAACCCCTATAAAACAAAAAGTACAGAAAGAAAAATAAATTAATAGATGTGATTTGGAAAGTATTATTCCTATTTAACATTTGCTTTTCTTTCAAATTTTATATTTAGATCTGCTTTTTCTGACCTGTGCCAAATTATTTAAATAAAAATAATAATAACATAAGTAGCACTTATTGAGTTCTTATGTCTAGGCATTTTCCTGAGTACTTTACTTGATTTATAGGATTTAATCCTCCCAGCGTTAGATAGAAGTAGGTATAGTAATTCTTGCACTATTGCAGAAGAGGAAATTGAAGCTCAGAGTTAAGTAATTTGTCCCATGTCATAGGGCCAGTAAGTTAAAAGAGCTGAAATCAAAAGATAGTTACAATTAAACGCTCCTCAGTTAAAGTGTATATTCCCCTATTCAAACAATCCCTAAAGATCTTCAGTTTCCAAGTAATGATGAATAATCTAATACCCAATGGCCAGGTAAGAGAAATTTAGGAGTTGTTGAAATGAGCCTATGAAAGTTTCTGGCCTACTTGTTCTTCTATTCAAAACCCAGCTATATAATTTGTTGTTAGCCAGTAAGAAGCCTTAAGCTATCTAAAAAAAAAGGTTTGTATTTCTACTGAAGAGGTTATACATTTTTTACTACTTCTACTAAACTAATCCAGAAATAAACATACTAAATTTATAGAAAGTTGTCAAAAACCCCTAGAATTCTATAAGCATTGAAGATATATTCCCTAACACTGCAATTACACACTTCAGTTAAATTCTGAATAAGTAGCTTAGTATAATATTAAAATATTACTCCATTTTTATTGGATAATCATTCTAAAATGAAGCTCTATATTTCTAGTTTTAAGCTAGCAGGCAGCTTAACTAGGCCATTCAAAAAAAAAAAAAGCCCATTGTATATGAATAGGGGGCAGTGGCCTGCTTCCCAAAATCCCTGTGACAGAGAAACCAGAAACAATTCTTTTTTTTTTTTCACTTTTTTTTAAATTATACTTTAAGTTTTAGGGTACATGTGCACAACGTGCAAGTTTGTTACATATACATACACGTGCCATGTTGGTGTGCTGCACCCATTAACTCGTCATTTAACATTAGGTATATCTCCTAATACTATCCCTCCCCCCTCCCTTTGTAGGGACATGGATGAAGCTGGAAACCATCATTCTCAGCAAACTATTGCAAGGACAAAAAACCATACACCGCATGTTCTCACTCATAGGTGGGAATTGAGCAATGAGAACACATGGACACAGGAAGGGAAGATCACACACCAGAAACAACTCTTAAAGTTCAGGAAACAAAGTGCTTAATGATCTGACCTTCTCTCTGTTTTTCTTCAGTTTTTTTTTGTTTGTTTGTTTGTTTTTGTTTTTTTTTTTTTTCACTTCCACCTTTGAACCAGTCTCAACATCATGTCAATCCAATCATTTCTCCATATCCATAGATTTGAGAGACTGTAGGAAGTATTTCCAATATTTTTCCCTCTCAATTCCCCACAATTTATACTTTTACATGCTATAACAAAATGCTGCACATATCTCTCCAAGGAAAATACTATTTCTTATGAGAATACTAAGTAATAATGGTAATAAAAGCTAATATTTACTGAGTGCTCACTGGGTGTTAAATACACCCTTGAAAAGGCATCATCCCATTTCTTTTCACTGAGGTTTACTGTGGTATAATTTTTATTCAGTAACACTCATACCTTTTTAGAGGTACAGTGTTTTTTTTGTGTGTGTGTATGTGTGTGTGTGTGTGTGTGTGTGTGTGTGTGTGTGTGTATGTGTTTTCAAATTACTACAATGGACATAGAATACATCCATCACACCCATAAGTTCTCTTGTTCCCCTTTGTGGTCAATTTCTCCCGCCACCCACAACCCCTTTGCAACCCCAAATCTGTTACCTATCTTTATTGGCTAGAAGTTAGTAAGTGGCTCTAAGTGGTGGAACCCATATTGAATTCCACAGCTGTCTGACTCTGCAACTCTTACTCCTAGATATTCTATGCTTCTATCTCTTCAGAAGATAATTTTCCTTATTAATTCATGAATGATCTTAAAGAAGCTCTTTGAATTTGCTTATTTTATTTTTAAATTAATATAATCAAACATAGTAAGTTATAGGGTGAGGTGAATTAAAACATAATACTAAAGTGTGGATATAACCAACTTAGTAATTGGTAAAACTATGGTAAGTAGGGAAAAATATAAAGTTGAACATTGCAGCATGGCAGGATCATTCTCAACATATCAATGTCTGTGTTTTCCTTAATAGTTTCTCTTTCTCCCTGTTCAAAGGGGTATTAAAAGCAGGCCTTTTGAAATTCTATGCCTCAGGATGTTTTGCAGAAAAAATCACAGAGACAGTCAAACTCCTTTAAAAACTGGAGACTCAGAGGAGATGATACTATGTGTATGAGTAGGAGAAAGAGAAGTACTTTGGGGAACAAGGTAAAAAGCAGGCTTTCTAAAATGAGGTAAAAGACAGGAGTTGAGAAGTTCTAGAATAGCTGAGATCTTTGTATCGCTTAGTGGCAGCAACCCACAGAGCTTACAAAGTTTGATGTTTCATCAAGAAAGAGAAAATATTTGTCACTATGGTTTCTCTGATATCTATGAATCAAAAGTGTTGCAGAAGTAGCTATGCTGCCAAATTATAAATGCCCATACAAACGGAGAAGTTCATGTCTTGTTGGTAACCTGTGGGCTGACAAAAGACCTATGGTCTACTGACATTTACCATGTATTATACACGCATTAACACGTCTAAACCTCTCAACCCGATGGTATTAGAATTTATCCCATTTCAAAACTGAGAGAACAAAGACAAAGAAATGCAAGATTTTTTGCTCGAATTCACACAGTATCTAAAGAACAAACACACAATTTGAACCCAAACAAGTTCTATCCGGAAAGCTTATGTTATAGTGCCTAAATCAACCTAAATTTCAGGGACTTTTCTTTAGTCTGAAAGAGGAAAATTAATATAAACACGATTGACATTTTGGAAAATTTCCTCAAATATAGGATTGAATTTTGATTTATTAAAATAGTTAGAAAAATGTGGTATTCCTTATGCCACTGTGTGTGTAGACATAAAGGTATTTCCAATACATTAGCAGTATAAAATTTGATACCCTTGTAAGAACCACTTAAGCATTTCAGAGGAATTTTTCATGTTATTAAAAATGAATAACTTATTACTTGAACATAAATTTTGTTTATCAGTGATCAATATTAATAAGTAATTCTTGTTTCCTTTTTTCCTTCAAAACTTAAGAATGAAGTCTCTTTTTATAATAATGTGACACAATTTAAATTAATTGAATAGATGTTACATCAGCATGGCTGGTATGGGTAATTTATGTATTCTAGCCATACCATTTTCCCTCAGCCTTAAGGTTCTACTGTACTTATTTATTCCCTTCTGATAAAATAACATATTTCTTTTGTAATTACAAAATGGCTTTTATTTTATTCTTATAATAAGGCATTTATTGGTTTATTTGTTCTTCAATGATCTAACAAATCTATGTGGGGAGCCCACAATATGTCTGACATTCCTTAGGTATTGGACATAAAAAGATGAAGATATATTTGTAACTTCCAAAAGTGTCCAGTCTTCTTGGGTGATAGGTAAATAAATAACTAAAATAAAAAGTAATTAAAAATAATAAGATAAAAAGGCTATGTTCATTTGCTCATTCAACAAATATTTATTGATTATATATGTACTATTCCAGGGCCCTGGGGACAAAAAAGATAGATAGATAGATGATAGATGATAAATAATAGATAGATGATAGATAGATAGATAGATAGATAGATAGATAGATAGATAATAGATAGGAATATAAAAACAAATCCTTGCCCTCTTAGATTTTTATTTGAGGTGAGACCATCAAGAAACGAACAATGTTAGGTGATGGAAAGTGTCACAGAGAAAAAACACCTTAAAGGAGTACTGCCTAGTGACAATGTGACTGTGAGGAAAGAGTTAACATAGCAGGTCTGATTGGTCAGTCCTTGAATGGCTCCTAGGGAATCTGCAAACCTGATTGACTCTTGGTCAACCCCTGGGAATGTGACCCTAAATTTTTTTCTGTTACTTATTTATTATGTTGTATAAGCTTAGAGCAATTAGTCATGCTTCAACAGATTATCAGATTTATCCAGATTGTTTTGTACATCCTGATTGTTGATATACCTTCTTTCATTGCTGAGGTCCTGAGTTTCTCTTATCATGCTAGATGGTCAACTTCACGTAAAATCCCTGGGTGCTGAGACTCAAGCATGCTTCCCTGGGTACAGATACTTCACACAAATGCCTGGCTATGTTTGGGGAAGGATCCTAGGATCATGCCAAGTTTTTTGGTTTGGGGTTCTTTTTTTGTTTCTTTTTTTGTTTGTCTTGTTTTGTTTGTTTGGCTGGGCACAGTGTACTTTATTAATGGCAAATGGCAAGGTAGGGCTCCCAAAGCCCCTTCCATTCTTCAGAGGGCCTGGGATGGAAACCATGTCAAGGAAGGGAGATTTTCAATATGTTAGAATGTGAAAACTCTCCAGTAGCTGAGAGTCTCTTATTCTCCTTCTGGTGCTGGTGGTACAGAGACCACCTTGGAGGCCATGTGATCTAAAAAATCTACCACCCCATTGACCCCATTGCTTTAACCAAATTAATTGTCACACTGGGATATAAGCTTGACCAAACAGTCATTGAAGGTAAAACCAGCCCCGGCATCAAATGTGGAAAAGTAGGTGTCACTGTTAAAGTTATAGTAGATGGCCTGGTCCTCAGTGTAGCCAAGAATGCCTTTTAGGGAGCCCTTCAATGGCTGTTTCACCACCTTCTTGATGTCATCACATTTGCCAGCTTTCTCTAGACACCAGGTCAGATCTTCAACCAACACATTGTGCAGACACAAAAGGCCATTCCAGCGAGCTTCCCATTCAGCTCAAGAATGACCTTGCCTGCAGCCTTGGCAGTGCCAGTAGATGCAGGGGATAATTTCTGGGCAGCTCCATGGTTATCTCACCACATTTTGCCAGAGGGGCTATCCAGGACCTTCTGGGTGGCAAAGATGGCACAAAATGTAGTCATGAGTCCCATTAAGATGCCATAGCTCTCATGAATAGCCTCAGCCAGGGGGCTAAAAGTTGGTGACGCAGGAGACATCACTGACAATCTTGAGGAAGTTTTTGTACTTCTTATTGTCTGTGCCCAGCAAAAACATGGAGGCATCAGCAGAAGGGGCACAGATGACCTTTTTGGCTTCACCTTTCAAGTGAGCTCCACGTTTTTCCAAGATAGTGAAGATTCCAGTGGACTCCAGAACATATTCAGTACCAACATCACCCTATTTGATATTAGCAGGGTTTCACTCGTGGAAGAGGAAAACGAGATTTAATTCATGACAAGTTTCCTATTTTCAGCCTTGACTAGGCCATGAATTGTGCCATGGGTTGACATAGTGGAATGTGTGGACCATGTAGTTGAGGTCAAGAAAGGGGTCATTGATGGCAACAATATCTACTTAGCTGAAGTTAGCTCTGATGACCAGTCACCCAATACAGCCAAATCCATTTACTTGAGCCTTCACCATCACATCTCAGGGACATGGCTGGCACTGCATGAGGAAATGTATCTCTCTGTCAAATGAGAAGGATCAGAGATCCAGGATCATGGTGCTATGAAAATGCTCCTAGAGATGACACATTTTGGGGCTGGGCACTGAGGGGAAGGTGCTATGTCTGGCTTGCATTACCTTCTGTGATAATTGATTGTTACCTGCAGTTCTTTCTAAAATGCTGGGTCACACTTCCATTTCAGCTTGGAGTGACCATGCCACTTCCTGCCAGCCAGCTACAACTGATTAGAACAATGTAGACAATGGCCCTCAAATGGATCCAATTGACTTTTTTTTTTTTTGAGGATTAGGATTTAGGAAAAAGTGAGTCTCAGCAGTAAGATTTAAGTATGAGGGGAAGTATATCTTCACAAATAAAAAGGCTATTTTCTGTAAACTAAAGGAGAAAATCTAGACTGCAGAAAGAGAGAGGAAAGAGGATATAAATAGTAATCAGGATGAGAAACTAATCAGCCACAGTATCTGGGGCTCATGAAGCCAGAGGGGTAGTTCTGGTTTGTGAGACCAATCTGTGCCTTTGGACTTGAGTCTTGTAACAATTTTGTATCTTTCAATGATTTCATAACTAATTTTAATAGGTTTCTTTTCCCTAAAGCAAAATCATCCTTAATGGGTTTGGATCCATTTTAAGTAACTACATATACTATGAATGACTGCGTAAACTATGCCAAGAAATTTGCAGATTATTCTATATAAAACTGAATAATAGTACCCTTTTAAAAAAATGTAATTGGAGAAAGACAATTCTAACAATAAAGTAGCAAATGAAAGAGATGGAGGAGAAACTAGATAAAAAGTGAACTATTAGGAAGAAATCTTAGAATTACAAGGAAATACTAGTTTTCATGGTTCATAAAAGAATAAAGTTTGGAAGCATTCTTACAAATTTCAGACTGAATACAAGTTGTATATTGATTTCTAACACTTGAAAAAAATCACTAGGGTGTTTGCCTTCAAATGTTTGCAGGTGTGGGTAATTAAAATACCACATTATTTTCATTTGATTGTGTAAGCATTCTCATGTCTACAAGTGATTCTAATCAACTTCATTGACTATGAGGGAGAATCCTCTATAATTAAGAAAACTTTATGTACAATTATTAGAGTTTAGAATAATTCATATTGCATTCCTAATTATTATTTTTATCTACTTTAACTTCCATTTTTCTTAGGGAATAATAATTTACTAAATGATCAAAATAGTTTTCATTCTTTTCTAATGAAACTATTTAGGAATAAATAGAAAACAGTAAAGTATTTCAAAAATTAGCCACACATAATCATAATCGTAATCATAAGCCCACACATAATTATTTATTAAATAAAATAACATTTCAAGTTTTTTAAAAAATTTATTCTTTATTAGATTTCTAGGGTCATTTTGGTATGAATAAATCTTCCTTCATCTTGCAAAGGATACACTGTGGCTAAGAGCGGTAAGTTTAGACTTGATCTAGTGATCAAGATGGTGTTATCCCAACCAGTCCATGGGAACATATATAATGTATAATACAACTTAGTAGTGAAGAGAAAAGCTCTGGAGTTATAATCACCAAGATTCAAGCATTGATTAAATTTCCAAGGCTTAGTATCATCATCTATAAATCGAGGTTATAATTTTTACTTCATAGAGTTATTGAGAATTAAATGAGGCAATATACATACAGATCCTGGTACATACTATATATTAAATGAATAATTGTCATTACTATAATACTTATATAAATGGGCTTCTTCTCTGGGAGAGATTTTTATGGTATAGAAGCTAAGGTAATGTAATAAATTGCAATCATGATTCTTGCCCATTTTGAAAAAATAAAATGGCATTGATGGTTAAAAAATATAAACGTTGAATTTCAAAGGACAGTTAACACAAATTAAACTAGTTCAACCTAACCATTTTGACTCTGGATCCAGTAGAACATAAATTTCAAACAGAAATATTACAGGGTTTCATCTCCAGAAATTCCCAGACATAGATTTGAGGTGATTTCTAGGAATATTGAATACAATAAGTTAATTCTCAGGCAAGTCATTCTCAGCACCCTCTCCAAGTTACACCACAAGAATCTCAGATGTCTCAGAACAAATTCTAAGTCTTTTTCATCCACAAATTCAGTGCATGACTTTGTGTCTAACATGCACTAAGTACTCAATACATAATAATGAAATTATATAATTAATGATTAGCATACCAAAACCAAATTGATTAACATTGTTACTATTTTGTTAATTATCTCTACTGTGAGTTGTATGTAATTTGAATTTTTATTCCCACTTATGATAGAGAGCTTTACTTTCAAATTATTTTTTGTGATCTGTGACAAAAATGGAAATAAGGCAAATTTATTTACTTTAAAAGATGAAAAAATTGAATGCCTTTTTTACTTAGATTTATACTCATTCTCAGACTTTTCAAAACATTTCAGACATTAAGACTTGAAATTAACATTAAGACTGTAAACTAGTTCAACCATTGGAAGTCAGTGTGGCAATTCCTCAGGGATCTAGAACTAGAAATACCATTTGACCCAGCCATCTCATTACTGGGTATATACCCAAAGGATTATAAATCATGTTGCTATAAAGACACATGCACACATATGTTTATTGCGGCACTATTCACAATAGCAAAGACTTGGAACCAACCCAAATGTCCAACAATGACAGACTGGATTAAGAAAATGTGGCATATATACACCATGGAATACTATGCAGCCATAAAAAATGATGAGTTCATGTCCTTTGTAGGGATATGGATGAAGCTGGAAACCATCATTCTCAGCAAAATATCGCAAGGACAAAAAACTGAACACCACATGTTCTCACTCATAGGTGGGAATTGAACAATGAGAACACATGGACACAGGAAGGGGAACATCACACACGGGGGCCTGTTGTGGGGTCGGGGATGGGGAGGGATAGCATTTGGAGATATACCTAATGTTAAATTACGAGTTACTGGGTGCAGCACACCAACATGGCACATGTATACATATGTAACTAACCTGCATATTGTGCACATGTACCCTAAAACTTAAAGTATAATAAAAAAAAGAAAGATGAAATAATTTCAACATACAACTGATATGAATTCCAGAATTAGAGAATAGAGATAATATGTAAGTAGATATTTTTAAGGCATGATGAAAAGATTTAAATATAAAAGAAAATTTTAAAAATTTAAAGAGAATTTAAAGGAAGAGAGAAAAAAATAGTTCGCAGAATGAAGCAGCACACAGAAAACCAAGGTAAATGAATAAATAATATGCCTATATCAGTTTACATTGTAGTGAAAATGCGCAACATGACACAAAGAAAAAAATATTCTAAAGTACCAAAGGAAGAAAATAAAGAGAAAAGAAAGACTGATTGTCTTCAAGGAAATTACAACCAATTTTACTGCAGTTTTCAGCAAAACATTTGAAGCTAGTATACAAAGTAATAATATTCTAAAAATGTTTAGAATACATAGTTGTCAATCTAGAAATCCATACTAAAATAAATACATTGACATGTGAAAGCTAAATGAATATTTTCAGACGTTAAAAAATAACAAAACAGAAATGTTATATTTCATGGACCCTCACTGAAAAAATGATGAATGAAAATATGTTAGTAGGGAACAAAAAATAACTGAGAAAAAAGTTATAGATAAAAAAAGCAATAGTAAGCAAATAAATGGCTAAGACATTTTATTAAATCTTAATCAGTATTTACTGATTAAGGGGAAAAAAATCACTGGTATTATAGGTAGGGATTAAAGCAAGTATAATAAAATTGAAAACAATATATTGAAAATGGGAAAAATAAATTAAGATAACCCTGTTGTACATTTTAAGTATGCATATAAAAAACCTTTATATTTAATTAGTAAATTTATTGTGTTTATATGTTTATATTAAAACATTTAAATGTAACCATTAAAAGTACATACTTGGACACATGTAATCAATCCCAGCACTTTGGGAGGCCTAGAGGGGTGGATCCTTTGAGGTCAGTAGTTTGAGATCAGCTGGGCCGACATGGTGAAACCCTGTCTCTACTAAAAATACAAAAATGAGCCAGGCATGGTGGTACATGCCTGTAATCCCAGTTACTCGAGAGGCTGAGGCACGAGAATCGCTTGAACCAGTGAGGCACAGGTTGCAATGAGCCAAGATAGCACCACTGCAATCCAGCCTGGCCTACAGAGCAAGACTGAGTCTCAAAAAAAAAAAAAAAAAAAGATAAAATGAGACTAAAATTTAAATGGACGATAGGATGGGAACAATAATCAGAGAAAAATAGTAAATGTAAAAATCCAGATGTTAGTAATAATATATTTGTTCTACATTTACATAAAATTTACACAAAAACAGTATACTTGGAAATATAATTAACTAGGAGATACATAAAGAATGATCTATCTTTTTATCTTTATACATATAAACTTATAGATCTCAAAAACACTAAGATGAATAAACAAGCTGTAGAATGAAAAGTATATCATGACACCATATCACGAGACTTCGAAAGAGATCCTGTTCTGTGTAGAGTCCTTGCGATCCACGATACACATATATGACAATCCAAAATGTTACTTATGTATACAAATAACACTAGTAAAAGTGTTACAACATGAATACCAATCAGTCTCACGGTAAGGGTTGCTTTTGTGAAGGAAGGAGTGGAATAGGATTGAGCACAGGTACCAAGGGAACGTTACCTCCTCAACTTTATCTGTAACACTTATTGACTCAAAAATAATTTTGAAATTATCAGGATGAAGCTGTAACATTTATTAGATTTTAGACTGTGGTTACATGGGTATTTGTAATATTAAGTTTTGGATTTTTTATGCATAGATATGTAATAATTATATGTTTTAATAAGAGCCTAAAATAATACACTGTTTTCCTTATTTATCTATGGAATACTGGAACATTAAGTTTCTTTAGTGAAACACCAAAGAAATAGAGTAACACATATCTTCTCCTAACTTCAATACAAACATTGTTATAATGCTTTATTTCTCAGATAAATAGTACTATTTCCAACTTTGAAATAGGTACTTCACATGGAAAGTCAGACTACTTACAGGTGTCCTAAAATCCTAGACTGGCTTAGATCCAGTAGTATTTTGCCTATTCCAAAATTGCAAGCATTATTTATGCCACGTGTATGAAACTACTGGTACATGTCAAAATTGCATCTTCCTTCCATTACCTCAATTCACTTGGGATCATTTCACAATGACAAGTATCTGCTTCCCTACTAGCTTAGCTCTCCTAAATCAGGAGATGTCAGCTCTTAAAAAAAAAAATATGTCTCTTCATAAATGAAAAATTCATCTGTGGGAGTTTCTTAGAGAAGCACTGTCATCCATGAAAGATGTAAGGCTCACTAGAATTATGAGTAAGAGTGAATGAGAAAGTTAAGAAACTATACATTTACAAGCAATAAAGGCCCAAATGAAATTAAATGTTAATGAGTCTGGCCTTAATTGAGTTTTACTCCCACCGCTAAACTCTTTAGTAAAATATATTATCACATCATTTCTTTTATGATACATTAAAATCTGTACTATATTAAAACATTAGTTATTTTGTTACCTTTTTTAAAAAAAGTCTTGCTTCATTTCACAGTATTGTTTATTTGTTAAGTGCATTATCACAACATTGTAGTTTGTCAGAATTCCTCAACCTAGGAAATGAGGGTTAATTTAGCTATTTTATTCACAGAAATTGCCTTTCCTGATTTGAGATTTTTTTTATTTTAATATAAGTCCTTGGTGAATTTCCCAGTAGACCTGTAATTCCACATTGGACCTTTTAATGTACATTGTGCCAGAGACATGGATTCAAAAGGGAAGCTGTCCTGTCCAAAGACTCTACATTTCAGTGAATTCTTCAGACCTATTGCTGTATCCCAGTGACCACAGTGATTGTCTGAGAGTAGCAATATGTCAAAAGTCAGCAAGTGATCCTTCACATTTGCCCTTTATTGAAGCAACTGTACATTGGGCTCAACTGAGTTCCCAAACAGCACAACCTATGACAAGATCAAAGAATCCCAAGAACAGGGAACAAACCAATGCACTCTGCTGGTCAGCAGTCTAAGAGCTCAACTTATTTCATTAAAGTGCTATATGGGCTACTGAGATTCTTCTTAGGTTCTAAAGACTGCTGCAATTTAAGCACATATATTTTAAATGAACATTTCAATGTAGCCTATTCTTCATGGTATACAGGGTATTTTAGAATCACAGATCTGAGGAAAGCATTTCTCTTTTCACAATTCTTGGACTGCTGTTTACTAGGTTTAGAATTCTGTCAGGGTTCTGTAGCACCTAACACTGTACCCTGCAGGTAGTTAGGTAATCAATACCTAAAAAAAATCATAAGCAAGTAAATAAGGATACTTCTTGAATAAATAAATGAGTACAAATACACCTAATCATACTAAACCTCAGTCCCCTCATCTATAAAGGATGAGGGGGATCCCCAAGTTGAAGAATCATTATTAGAGAACGAAATAAGGTATGTAAGAAACCTAGAACTAAGTGGAAGCAAAAAATACACAACCTGAGCATTCTTCTATTATAACTTGGCTAGTAATACATTGATTCATATTAGTTTCTTTTCAAAATGTTATCTAAAACATGATGATTGTACACTGTAAAATTATGTTAAATTCTACCCTGTAAAGCATATTAGTAACATTTTCCTGTCACTTAACTTTGCATTTTGCTACTTTAACCTCAAAGTTTTGTCACTGTGTACATGTCATAACTTTCATAAAATGCAAAATACTAGCCACTTAGAGAACATTGTATTTATGAAGGCTCTGAACATCCCACGTTATTTCTATTTACCTCTAACCCTCCTTTGACCTTGTCACATTTTGGAGATAATGGTGAAAAGTCTAAATTTCTCCTGAAATAGTGAGATTGGCTCCTAGAGTAGAAAATACATTCATTTGACCAAAGGGATAAAACTGTACATTTTCCCCAAAACGCTGGCACAAACTCAGCCAGGGTGCAATATCAGTACCAAAGTAGGCATTTGGGGTGGAGGAGACATAACACAATGTGCAGTCACTGGAGATTAAATGGCACTTCTTTTGGGGGGAATACTTTTGTCTTTCTTTTGGGACCTAAAACTGATGTCAGCATGCTTCATGACTGCATTTTTCTAACTATGGTTTAGAGATTGGGATTTATTTTAAAAATTAAAAAATGAATAATGCTATTACACCCACAAATGACTTTGAATTCATACTATTTCTTAACAAAATTATATGGCATATATTGTATTTTTAAACTGTAATAAAACTAAGTGAAATGATTATGCTTCAGCTGATTCTTATAATATGGGTACAATTTTAATTTAAGTATAATATCTTTAATTTAGCCAATTTTACTCAGCTCAAAAGCATTGTGACAACTCTAGATGAGAAACTAAATTCCAGTTTCCAAAACTTTGAGTGACAGATGAGAAACATTTAATCAGAAAGTTCTACAATAGTACAACTATTTTTCTATGAGGTTAATATTTTATCACATTAGAAACATTCAAAAGGCTACATATTGCATTTTACCTACAAGAATGCCAAAAATATCAATAAGAAGAAGTTCTAGACTTTCTTTCAAATAACTTTCTCACTTGTGAATTTTAAATCATTTTTGTTAAATTTAATATACATTCATTTTTTTCAGGTGTTA
Organism: Homo sapiens; assembly: GCF_000001405.40. Taxonomy (NCBI): domain Eukaryota; kingdom Metazoa; phylum Chordata; class Mammalia; order Primates; family Hominidae; genus Homo; species Homo sapiens. The sequence continues at coordinate 95,113,440 of NC_000006.12, forward strand.
AAAATTAAAAGTATAATTTGGAGTTAATGTGTATGTAAAGATGAAAAGTTTATAAAATTTAATGTTAAATAATAGAATTAGTGATTGATCTTGTTTTCTTTTAAGGTTAGTTTCCTGTTAGTAGATAGCTGTAAGATTGAGAGCAATGTTATGGTGAGGCCCGTTTTCACAGGAGTAAAAATGAACTGCAAAAGTGAAAGTTTCCCCATTTCATAGTTATAATGTGGCTCAGGTGTGAATGAGTAGGTTAATCATGTGAACACATAGTTCAATTGTGAATTGATCTCTAGTGGAGGCTGCTTGACTACATATCGGAGGTGAAGGCTATTGACAACATGCTTTCTCTTGATTGACCGAAGGTGAAAAATAAAACAAGGTGGTTAGTTCTTATCCTCATTCCTATCACCAACTTTCCTATTACACTCTTAAAAGTTATAGTAAACCCAGAAACAACTTGAAAAAAATTAGGGTAAAATTTACTGTCTTCTGATATTTTTTGCTTAGCTGCTTTTTATCTGCTTTGCTCTAAGCCTCAGAAGCTCAAGAATACAATTCACTAGAGAATTTCATGCCACGTTCTTACCTGTGGACCTGGACTATCCTCTGGGAGATCTTTCTCAAATTTAAAGTCTTCTAAAGAATGAATAATGACTAAATCCTGAGAAGGAATTTAAAACATGCTTCTTCAACTAACCTTCATTGCTGCTCTCAGATCCAGGTAGAATAACATCAAAGTCCCTGATGCATCAAGATTTAAAAGGGCCCCTACCCCATGACCATTTAGATTCTGGCCTTTTCCATCCTCAGAACATAGAGTATTTACCATGACCTTCATCTCATAAAGGGCTTGTATTATTTGTGTACATATCAGGTCATGTACTTTTCATCTTTTTATTTAATATATGGCAGATGCAAATTCCTTTTAAAGACCAGCTCGCACGTCACCTATTCTATAAAACTTTAGCTGCTCCTTATATCCTGGAATATAGTAGATTCTCAGTATGTATTAGCAGAAAAAAAATGAATACATGAATAGATCACTCCACTTTATGAAAGACTCAACATTTAGAAAATGCTTTTATTAATGTAATTTTGTTTATTAATAACACATTTATTTGTCCCTGTTCACTATAAAAACTTTAAGCCTTTGTTTTCTTTTTAAGCCCCATATCACCAATATCACTATTTCTGGCTGATAATAGGCATACATTAATGCTTACAAAATGATGGATTATGCAATCAAGATATATCTGTTAAAAATATACTCACAGGCTAGACATGGTGGCATAGGCACGTAATCCTAGTGCTTTGAGAGGCCGAGGCAGCAGGAACATTGGAGACCAGGAGATCGAGACCAGCCTGGGCAACATAGAAAGACCCCGTCTCCACAAAAAATTGAAAAGTAGCCGAGTGTGGTGGTACGTACCTGTAGTCCTATCATTTCGGGAGGCTGAGGCTCAGGAGGCTGGGATCACTTGAGCCCAGGTGCTGAATCCTGCAATAAGCTGTAATCATACTCCTACATTATAGTTTAGGCAATGGCGCAATACCTTGTCTCTTAATTGCTCTACATTTTTTTTCGAAATTTACTCAATTACATATTTATGTATGTTTTATATCATTCATACTATATATATTACATTCATAAAGATATAATCTAGTAAACTCCAAAAAATATATAATAGATGGAATAGAGGGAATATGAAAGAGAACATGGAAATATGTATTATTTTCTATTAATGTATAACAAATTACCACAAACTTTGTGGTTTAAATGAACATACATTTGCTATCTCACAGGTTCTGTGGCTCCAAGGTCTAGGCACGGCTAAGCTGGGTTCTAAGTTCAGGGTCTCCTTGGGTTGCAATATACACTGGCTATCACCTAGAGACATCTCTCAGTTTCTAGAGGCAGTTCCCTACCACAAGTCCCTCTCCCAAACATACTTCTTACAGGCCATCTCACAACTTGGAAGCTCATTTTTTCATAGCTAGAGTTTCTTTCTTCAGAAAAGGCCCAGTCCCTATTTTAATAAATTTTCCTGACTGTCAGACTCACTCATGATCATCTTTCTTTCAATTGATTCAAAATCATCTTGCTTGGAATTTTAATTACATCTACAAAATCCCTTCACCTTTACCATCTAAATAAGCCTAATCAAGGCAGTGATTTCTCATTATATTTATAGATCCTGTCCACACTGTAGCAAAGGAGATTATGCTAATTATACTCCAATATAGGGATGTTGAAGTCTTCTCAGAATTCTACCTACCACAAATGTGAAAATGGAATTTAAGGTTGGAGTACACAGAATATGACCCTCGTCAGGCAAAGGGTAGAATTTCACTTCCCTACCAATTCCCATCTGAAGTTAGGTACACCAATGTGTTTTAATCTTGGCAATGAAATAAGAGTAGAAATGCATGTGCCATTTCTGTGAGGAAGTTTTAGAAGCCAGCACACAACTCATATTCCTTTCTCTCTGCCTTAGGCATTGTGAAGGCTTGTGTTGAAATGAAACCTCTACCAACCTCAGTCTTGAGTACTTATGAGTAGAGTCCTACTTACAATCAGCTTTAGAAAAGCATCATGAGAGAAAAATGTTTGTTGTGCTAAGCAACTGAATTCCTGGGGATGTGTGTTACTACAGGACATTTTTTCCCATTTCTGAATTATATTTGTACCACTTAGAGTTCATAGGTTAAAGGACATCTTAGTCACATAGAGTGACAACAAACTGGAATATTCTCTCAAATGCTAACTGGGAACTAGTACTGAGTGTCCAGAGATGCTTAGCATGGTGAGGCACACCTGTAGTTTCAGCTACCGGGGAGGCTGAAGTGGGTGGATACTGAAGCCCAGGAGCTTGAGGACAGCCTAGGCAAAATAGCAAGACCACGTAACAAAACAAAAAACAAACAAAAAATTTCAAGAAGAAAAAGAGAACAGGTTGCACCAGAAACAGGAGAAAAGTATTGGAGATAATGATTAAATAAACATTATATTGAGAGGAACAGAGTGAAATATATAGAAAAGTATGTAAATATAGTTTGAGGATGTCATTAGTATAAGATTATGGGAAAAGGGAGACACTTGAACACAGTAATACGAGGAGCACTTGTTCAAAGGAAAAAGTAGAAGAAATTAATATTGTTCTCTATTATTGCATGATTTAATTTTAACCCATTGTTTCTCCCTCAAACTTAATTTATAAAACCTAAAACTGTATTCCTGTTAATTCATTTATATAAGTAATATGGTTAAAATTTATGTGGTACAATCTGTTCATCATTCTTCTAAATGTCTAGGATGGAAAGGAAGCTGTTTTCCAGTTATAAATATCTACAAGTTAAGTAGTAAAAAATAAACAACAAAATTAATGGTCCAGATGTCATTTGTCATGGACTGTAGTGGTTAATCATTGATTACTCTCTGTAAACTACCTTTATAAACAATGTATCTGCTTACTCTCAAAGCAGACACTAAATACAAATATAGAAATACATATTAAATGCAGTGAAAAATAATAGTAAACAGAAATTCTGAAAAGACAAATCCTGATTCTAGAATTGTCAATACTAAAAAAAATGTGATCTTATGTACAGCAAATAATTTTCATATACCTATTTTATTCTCTGTATGATGGTAGGGATGTGATTATTTGACCTTTCACATCTGAATTTCTGAATTGTTACATGTAAGTAGTTCCACATAGAAAGGTTTATGCGAGTAAATACATGGAATATGTGCCTGGAAAGAAATTTTTAAAGGAGTTCAAATTAATTTTAACTTACAGGACTTTTTGTTTTCATATGTACTCAATATGGTTATACACAGACCTCCTAGGATCTTCAGAGTCTTTTATCATCCTATGTCTTATGAATCAAAATCTTCCATGGTTAGTAAGTTGAAAGGTCAATAATATTATACCTAATAAAAACTTGACTGACAGCTACACATAGCTTATTACTCATCTATTTATTGACAAAGAAAACCACAAACCTATTCATCAACACCCATGATGAGAAAACAGAAAGGTATCAGATCTATGTGGACAAAACCCAAGATCAAAGTTACTATCAGGATTTCTGCTGGTTGTTGAGTTGTTTCTTCCCCCAAGATTGATTTATACAGTCTGTCATACTATCATGCTCTCCAATCATTTTTGCAAGTCATGTGCTTCAGACATTAGGTGATAATCTTCATCATTCTTCTAAAATTCTGTGAAGAGAAGGAAAATGTTTTCTAGATATGATTATCTAAAATCTTTGCCTTTATACAAGGATACTAACGTCTGTGAAGGAGAGACACATTTTTTGGTATATGATTTTGATGTGGATTAAGCCATGTGGCTACACTTTGGGTCAGTCGAGTTCAGGAGACCAGCATGGCTCCATGCTCTGGGTTCCCAAATGAGTTAAGCTGCCATTTGCTTTCCAAAACTAGCTATAAGCTCGCTTTCTGGCTAGACTTACATTAAAACCCATCCTCTCAAAGTATGTTCCAAGATATTATAACTAAATTCTGAATGACTGAATTTCAAAATTAAGAACCCTGGAAGAGGTCTTATATACAGTTTCTCTTCATCCCATTTTCTTCCTTCTGCTGACTATATTTTCTATTTTGAGTAATTATTTTTTTATAAGAAGAGTTCTATGGCAAAATTATATGTTGTGAAATTACTTGTTTGTCTAGCATCTATAAATATATAAATGTAATCTAAATTAACTTCTGGATGGGCAGCAACCAAAAAAGAAACGATGCAGATTGCCAAGTTAAAAGTTTTCTTTTTCATTTGGTGTTAGTTTTACAAAAAAATGTAAACCTTTTAATAATTACAGATTAATTTGTGTAATATTACATCTGATGACATACAAGCGTGGGCTACATGTGCTTCACAAACAAGTGCACTTACAACCAAGTCCATAAATATTTTTAATAATTCTGGCATAAATACTATTGCCAGACAGACAGCTCAGACTATTTTTCTTGGGTAATTTAGTAAATATATTGTTTCTCTATGATACCATGAGCCACCAAATTTTTAAACTTATTACCACAAGGCAACAAAAATATAGCTACAGTATCGAAATATTTATTGAACATACAATGGCATGCACAATAAAATCAGATGTCTCATTTTTGACAGAATTAACTGCCAACATGGTTTACTTTGTTTCCGTGAAATGGATAGAGAAAAGTCAACCTTACATTAAATTTATATTTCTAACAGCTGATAGTACTGACATAAAACTGGTGTCACTTAACTGTTTGAGAAGTTTTTCTTCTGCTAATAGAACCAACATGAACAGCAATTGCCTCATTATTTGTAAATGCACAAGAAAACTTGAAATCAAATGAGTAAAATGAGTTTAGACTAAAATACCTATTTGATCCAAATGATAAGTCAGTTATCAGAGTTATATTTATCTGCAACTTACAGAGTCCTCTTACCATAAGGACTAATTTTATTAAATAGATGCTGAAGCTTTCACAGATGAATTGTGTCTTCTGTATTTAATATGATAAATGGTTTTCACAAGTCTACATGGTGGCTTGTGAATGTGGACAATGTATTGTCATGTTCATCATCAACTTTTGGAGACAGGAAAATCCCTTATTAATTTTTAATTAAACATGAATCTTTGTGCACTTATGGTGGCCAAAAGTGGTCATTGCATATTCAAAACATTACCAAACAATAAGATAAATAATTATAGATGTATACCACATGATAAATGGCAAATGGCATTATCTATATTCTCTATTGCCAGACAGACAGCTCAGACTATTTTTCTTGAGCATATTCTTCATGTACCTGACCTATAATACCTTTTATTTTCCTTTGACTCCACTAACAGTCTTGCATATCTGTGGAGCTCCCAGGTTGCAATGGTGGCCAAGACACAACTCATTCGTTTGCTAAGTGTTCAAAAAGGAGCAGCATTAAATATTTCTCCTACTACCACCCAATATCAGAAGAACGAACTATCCCAGAACAGCATTTTATCATCAGCAAGAACTGTGCCTGCTGTCCTTGGAGAAAGCTGAGAAAAGAGAGTTGGGTCATTAAGATTTAACTATGCATTTGGGTGAGAATTCCATTCATTGCACATGTATCTCACATACTACTAATGATGTGTAGAGAAAGCTGGATATTTATTCCAGTTTATTGTGATGCAACTACAAACAGTAATGTTTATCAAAAAATGTAAATAAGACAAATGATCAATCAGACTGATGTTGGGGTAACAGGAATTAGCAGAACTAATTCTGGTTTCCAAACCAGGTTGACTATACCAGAATATATAGACACTCTGTATTAACTAATCAGCTCTCTTCCCAATCCAGGTGGTGAGTTAAAATAATAAACTCCCTATCTGGTATAAATCATAATTCATTTGGATTACTTAAACAATTTTTTTGAAAAATAAATGCTCAATATCTCTTAATCTTGCCTTTTCCTTTTTTTTTTCTCAAAAATAGGGTTGTAGAGCATTGTAGCAGGTAGTTTCAAATTACCCTGAGATGCGAGAGCCCCCATATGCCTTCTGTCTCCTCTGTTATGAAATAGTTTTGACTTTCCTTGATAAATTTGGTGTTGGACTTAATTCGTAAAGTGGTTTTGTTTGTTTGCTTTTTCTTGGTTATTTGTTTTGGCTTTGACTATGGCCAGGAGCCTTTATTGGCTGATCTGACATTCCCTCAGCTCTTGAGGTTGGTATATTTTCCCTAGTAGCTGTCCTGTTCTCTATCTTTTCATTAATTCATGTGTTTCTCTTCAACTTCTGTCAGAGTAGCTTCTCTTTTTTTAACAACAGACCCCACAACAGACCCACCGGCATCACCTGACACTACAGGGGAGGACAAAAATGAAAATAAAATAAAATAAAATAAAATACTCTCAGGATAATTAGAAGTTTTCTTTGCTTTTGTTTTGCTAAAAAGGCCAACTAACCAACTTTTCCTGTCTTAGATATTTCTGGCTTCAGAATTGGAATTGCAAGGCAAGAAAGATATAAGGAAAATAAAAATGGATGAATTTAATATTCCAAAATATTGTCTCATTTCATTCAGTATAAAATAAAGTTTATGCCCTAATATATATGTTCAATGTTATAGAGTAAGGGTCTTTATACATTCCCAAGAGATCCTCTACATTAACTTTGTAGAGTGAAACAGAATCCTTTGATCTGCTTCAAGGAAGGCCTACAAACACTTGCTTTATATGATGTCTATTTAGTTTAATAAATATATAGTACACAAAGTAATAATATAATCTTTTAACATAGCTTTATTGTTAAATTTTAAGAAAAATACACTGTACTCTCAATTCATATAAACCAACTGAGTTAGAATTCTTGAAAAATAGTTTTCTGATATAGGATAAACCAATTGTCTATATGTCTGGACTCAATTACTTAATATAAATTCAGTATACATTCAAAACAAATTAATTTTCTTTTAACAATGCACTTTTATACAAAACCATTTTATTTAAAGAGTCTGGTGTTACCATACATGAACCAAGCAGTTTGACTATATCATTTGTAGAATTACAAACAATTCTTTCTAACAATGGAACTCTTTGTGTGGGTATTTTGTGCCACATTTCATCTATCAGCTAATAAAACTATCCAAGAAGAATTATGGTACAAGATACACATAAGCAAGAAAGATAAAAGGAAAGGTTAACACTTTTTCAGCATCTGTCAACACTGTCTCCTATTACATTTGATCACGTTTAAAGTAAATGCAAACATATGATATCATTTACAGTAAAAGTGAATGCCACACAGCAGCTACTTTGCTTTTATCCATTCCGCAGATCACTCATCACAGACCATCATGGGGAAGGACGATGCCGCTTTATGGTTCATCTTTGTCAGTAAAGCACACTACTTCAGCTCTTCAAAGCTGAACATTCACCCTATAACTAACAAAGAAATCTACCCTTGTGCATTTCCCGTTTGAAACCTGGAGAAAGGAGCAGAGTAGAGAAACCATGCTGCTTTGTTTTTCTTAAAAAAGTAAAACCACATGGATGAAATTGGAAATCATCATTCTCAGTAAACTATCGCAAGAACAAAAAACCAAACACCGCATATTCTCACTCATAGGTGGGAATTGAACAACGAGAACACATGGACACAGGAAGGGGAACATCACACTCTGGGGACTGTTGTGGGGTGGGGGGAGGGGGGAGGGATAGCTTTAGGAGATATACCTAATGCTAAATGACTAGTTAATGGGTGCAGCACACCAGCATGGCACATGTATACATATGTAACTAACCTGCACATTGTGCACATGTACCCTAAACCTTAAAGTATAATAATAATAAAAAAGTAAAACCAAAAGTGAAGACAAAAGATTAGCAAACAAAATGTGAACAACTAAGTATGCTATTGCTTTGTCAAAGGTTTTAATGAATTTTTGAAGTGACTCAAGGACATCTTTGTCTAGAGCAATGGTTAAAAAATTGTATTCCCCAGACTTCCTAAAGTAGCACCACCTAGGAAATTACTAAAAACGCAAATTCTCAGGCCCTATGCCAGAACTACTGAATCAGAAACTCTGTGGGTGGCATCTAGCAATCTTTGTTTTAACGCACTCTCCAGATGATTCTGACACACATTAAGAATGTTTGAGAACCACCAATTTAGGGAAATTCAGTATGGTGCATACCGCATGAGTTTACTCCAGTTTAATATTAACATTTTAATTATCAAAATAATTTTATAGATGTGTACAGATTTCAGTTTATATAGGTATGCAAAAAATTATTACATACTTTAATGTTTGTATTTTATTAAATTAATTCATTAATCTCAAAAAATATATCTGTTTTTTATGTATTTTATAAGCGAGCATATCCATTTGATGCATCTTAAACAAAATCTTAGAAAATCTGTACTCTTTCCACTCAGTGCATTCATATACCACAAAGCATATTTGACATAGTAGCCAATAATATAAATGATACTGAATACAGTTATAATAATAAATTTTGAGTTTAAATTTCAGTCTGTACTTTTAAGAATTTTTTCTACTTTCACTTATCCTTCCCAGTTATGATATAAACTACATATGATGTATGGAAACAGATGACATTTTAAACTATAAAGTCCTTTAAAATGGGCTTTAGAAATAACAATACTAAGCTTTGGAATTCTTGGAAACTATCCCTAACTTCATCTTTCTATGAACATCTTCTTAAATGCCTCTTTAGATGGAAAGAGGCTTACATCCTGGAATATGTATTTCAAGCCTTATTTCCTAAAGGATTGGTGAAGTAAAAAACAAATGATTCTTTGGGAAAAATGGGGAAACCATAAAACCATAAATTAAAATACATGGGCTAATTAATTAAGACTCTCTGCAACTTATCCAGCCAGTCAAACTTGACTGTGCTATTGAGTGTTTTGTTGGTTCTGACCATCTTTTCTGGGCCCTGAGATTGGGACACAACTGCTGTTTGTATCAGCTGAAATCTGGGGGCAGAAACACCTTCCCCTTACTTCTCAGCAAAGAATACATGATTTGTCAAATCTTTACCAATGGCCTACAAGACATTGACCACTCTAATTTTTACTACTATAAGGCCAGTGATATTAAAGATTGGACTGGAAAAATCTTCAGCAAGCAGAGATAAAGAAATACATACATAAATAACCAGAAGAAACTCAATAATCAGAAAAAGGAAAATCAAGCTCGAACCCAGAATATGTGACCTCATTAAAACGTAAGTGTTTTGGGAAACATTGGAAAACAAAATTTTCAAGTAGACTTCTAAAATATTTACTTTAAAAATAGCATTCAGTATATTTTTATCAAATAATTTAATGAGAAGATGATCACTATTAAGAACAGAAACAGGCCAAGTGCGGTGGCTCATGCCTGTAATCCCAGAACTTTGAGAGGCTGAGGCGGGTGGATCACCTGAGGTCAGGAGTTTGAGACCAGCCGGGAGCCTGGTCAACATGGTGAAACCCCTTATCTACTAAAAATAAAAAAAAATTAGCCAGTCATAGTGGCAGGCGCCTGTAGTCCCAGCTACTTGAGAGGCTGAGGCAGGAGAATCGCTTGAACCCAGGAGGCGGAGGTTGCAGTGAGCCAAGATCGCAACATTCCACTCCAGCCTGAGCGACAAGAGTGAGACTCTGTCTAAAAAATAAAATAAAAAAATAAAATAAACTGAAACAGTGACCTAGAAGATCAGAAACATGTATCTCATGACACTGTGCAAAGGTACAGTAAGAGAGAAGTTGAGACTACTGAAGCATAAATTGAAGAGATTTCATTATAAAATGTTTTAAAAATATGTATATTTTTAAATTAGAGACAGAGTCTTGCTACATTGCTCAGGCTGGTGTTAGACTCCTGTGCTCAAGCAACCCTTCTGCTTTGGCCTCCCAAAGCATGGGGATTACAGGCATCAGCCATACTACCAGGCAAATCTAGAAGAAGTAGAGGAACAAATTGAGGCAAACTTCTAGAGAAGATTAGTAAAAATATAAGGCCCTCTGAACGTCCCTTTAGAAATCCTGAAAGAGAAAGGAAATCTTATTTACTTCCTAACATAAAGGGGTCAAGGAAAAGAGAACCAGACTATCATGGGGCTTTAAATCTACAATACTAAAAGCCAAAAAACAATGCAATTAGTTTTCAGATTGCTTAGCAAAAAGATTGGGACACAAGAATAATACATCATTAAAGCACAGGAAATTTATGTTCACATATGTGCAAAGATTCAAAGGTGCCTCAGTAAAGTGTCAATATAAAATGCTCTAACTTCAACATGAGGGAGGAGAAAAGGGAATATAAACAGTGGTTAGTGATGCATCTTACAATGTACTATAGTTGAATTCAAATTGGTGATGCTAATGTGATTGACAGTTTAAAAATATGTTAAATAAGAGGATTTTGAAACTGAAATGAAATTTGTGTCTAGTTTTATTGTGTTAAACTGCAAGCCACAGAAATTCTGAATAACAGAAGAATAAACATTTATTTTGTACTTTCCAAGAACTCTGGTAGTAAGGGTCCCATGCTTCTCTTGCTGTGGTGGCTGTTACTGCTGTTGCTGGTTTTGGTTTTACTGGCCCTTCCTATCCTTCCATTTTAACATTTTAATGATGCTATCATTTCATGGTCACGGATTGCTACTGCAGAACCAACCATCACATTCTTACAGAAAAAAAGGAAGCAGAAAAGTAATGGTCATTTTTTCTGATGCTTATCTTTTTTCAGAGAAAAATATCTGTCTCATAAGCACAATAACAGCCTTCCTGTAATTACTGATTGGCCCAAACTGGAAGGTATGTCCGTACATAAAACAATCCTTGGGAAAGGGGAATCTGATTATGATTGTCTTAGGCTGACAATAATTTATCGACTAGAGGTGGGCACTTTGCCCTTCAAGAAATCATGGAGTCCAGTAAGCAAGAAAGAACTTCCAAATGGTTTTGAGTAAGTCACCAAAAGGGTGTGTTACACACATTGTTATATGTAATATGGAATTAAAATTTTTTAAGAAGCACAAAAAATTCAAAGGTTTGGAAAGGATGTGGGAATATAAAATCAAAACAGATAGCATTTTAAATGTCTCATAATCTCTATTTGTATGTGGGCGGGCTAGCGGGAAGGAAAATAAGGCTTCTGAAGATTTTTGTCAATGTGAGGGAAAGAAGAGGGAAAATAGAAAAAGTTTTGTGATGTTGGCAATGATTATCTCATTCTAAAGGTATAGTTAATATGCCTTGGTGTAAACTAGAAAAGCAGTAAGAAATGTGCTTTAAATTTGACAAATTGAAATTTAATTAACAAATAGATTTGTATTCTGTTCAGAGAAGCAAACAGCAAGAGAAATGAAAATCCTGGGTAGCTTTTTAAAAACATTGACTTTGTGCCACCAGACAGCTCAGTTGAATCAGAAAGTTCAGAGTGGGATATGGATACATGTATGTTTTTAAAATTCCTTGGGTGATTCTAATTTGCAACCAGGATTGATAATCACTATTTCAGAGGAATAAGAATGTAGTACAATATCCACTATAAATTATATAAATTTTACAAATTCTTTCGGCAACCAAATTTTGAGTGCCAACCATAACCTAGACAGTGTTCTAGGCACAAGTGATATTGCACCAAATGAAATAAAGTCCTAGAACTTGGACCTTCAAATGAGAGAGACAGGTAATATCTATGTAATGCCAGATAAAAAGATGATAATGAACCCTGATAAAGTGTGGGAGGTGAAAGCAGGTGGGTCCAGGGATGTCCTCTCTGAGGAGGAGAGAATTGAGCAAGGCAGGAATAAATCTAGGAAGTGAACCAAGAGCACACATGAGGAGGGAGAAAGAGGGCAGAGAGGAAGCAGAAGAACAAGGCTTTGCATCAAGAGTATGTTTGAACCTGCAGCAGTACACTCAAAGCCCTGAGAGAATGGGGTGGTGAAAAGAAAAACCTAAGCTTATTCACACTTTCTTTCAAAAATAATGACAATCAAATATCTTTTCAAAGAAAGATTTAGAGATTTTATCTTTGCTAGATGCTGACTGTCAGTACTTCTAAAGTGTATATGTCAACAAGAAGGAAAGAAGACCTGGAAGGAAGGAAATCATTCTGGTAAATTCCAAATAACTATTTTAGATTAAAGCAAAATTAATAAATGATTGACTTAGAGAATGAATTAAAAACAAGATGAAACAAAAATAATATAATAAAATCATATGGAAGATGGAGAGAGTCAGGTCAGAGTCCACATATTCTAATGTTCATGAATGGTTAAGAAGGGGATGACAAATTCGATGAACTCCAAATTTTAAGTCAAGTGTACAAATGAAAATATTACATACTCATGAAAAGAACATTAATTAATAACTTACAAGAGTTGAAAAATGCAATGGAGATAATATGATTAATCAACTAGACAGTTGGATGAAAAAAATGTCTGCAAAGAATGGGCATGGAAACTATAAAACAAAGATGGGAAAACATACCTGGGTTGTAGATTTGTGATTTTGTTGGGTTGTAGATACTGTGTATCTTTCGTCTATAATAGATAATTTGTAGAAAATATAAAGAATATATGAAGAGAAACAATGACATTACCAATATGAAACTACTATGGCATTACATTGAAAAATAAATTAAAAACTCAAGTAAATAAAAAAGAAGTGCAAATAGGCCTGATATGTATGAAAGTTTAATATGCACTAAAGTAATATTTCAAGACAATGGAAAAAGGATGGCTTACTTAATGATGTTGGCATAGATGGATATCTGCAATGTGAGGTGAAAGGAGATGGATGAGAAAACATGGTAAAATATAAAAGTCTATCCAGACTATTACTACACATGTGTAAAAAATGAGCTTACTCATGATAATCAAGAACTAGAAGATATCATGGAAAATGAGGATAGGAATATGGAAATATCTGCCTTGTTTTAATTGAATATTTGCATTAATATTTTATCATAAATAAAATTTAAAGCTCAAATGCAGATACTTCTAAAGAAATAAATATTAAATTACGTGTGAACTAAAATAAGAACAAAACTAGGATCACCTACACTGTACTAAACGTTTTCCATTGAGAAACTCAAGCCCAGTGATATTCATTTATTATGAACCACATATAAATTGTAATTCATCTGTTAAAATTGAGACAATAAAATATTTGTTTCAGAGGACTGTATGGTTTATTGTACATACAAAACATTTCTTAAGAAAATAATACAATGATCTTCCATTTTTGCAGTTGGCCTCTTGGCCAAATACTGCAGCGTTTTGCCTTGCCCACTTTGTAGAATCTGAGTATCTAACAATGAAGAACAGTAGAATGAAAACGTTTCAGTAAGTATCCTTCAAACCAAGTAAAAGTAATTTTGTGGGCTACGCATTTGCAATTGCCTTCCTTTACAACCTCTAGAGAGCTCTTTAGTATCACTTGAATTAGGACTTTGGGCAAAGAGCCTGCTCCAAATGAAACTACTATTATAGTTACTCTTGACCACGGTACATTGCTTTTCTGTCCCCAGTGCCAGGCACTCCAGCAGTGTGAGCAGTCAGGGAGCACCACTAAAAATATAGATGATAAAATATGTGAGAGTTCCCTGAAGCAGATACAAAAATGCATGTGCATTTGTTCCTTTGTAGAATATAATATTGAAAAGAAGAGATGCTCATTGGAACACATGATATCTTTTGCATTTAAGCGATTTATCTATAAACATCATATCATTCTTGAACAAGGCAATTTCCCTGTTGCATTGTTGTTAAATTTACCATTTATGATAATTTAGGGACACATTTCAGAGTGTGATTGTTTATTTCAATCAACTCCATAAGCGTAACTTGATTACAGAGGTGGAGAACTGTGAAAAACACCATTAATTTAAGAAAAGGCCTTTGAGCTTATAGTTAGTGTAGTTAACATAGTTCCATTGTTTATTTATGGCTATACCACTAAGGATATGTGTTGGGGGTGAGGTTAAAAAGAGGGAAAGGTTTTTTTTTTTCTCTTAATTTACATATCAGTTTTTGATGGGTTTTCTCTCCAAAAAGAAGTCTGTTTAGGTTTATGCCAGAGTCTGGGGCCATTTACAGATTAATGGCAATTTTTTTTCTTCATATACACAGCCTTCCCTTATACACCACAGGCTACTTCAACGGCTGCAACCCACTTGCCAGAAGACAAGTTAACTCCTCTTTAGTCATGTTCAAACTATTACAAGTTCCTTTTGTAGAATAATACCTCTCTTTGGGGCCATACCACATGACTTACCCTTTCCAACCCCTATTTTTGGCCACATTTTAATCCAATATTTGTTTCAGGGTAAAATGAAAATTCACGTGTAAGACTCATTAAGCACTGTACACTTAATTCCCAGCACCTCTTTGCTGTAGCAATCCAATGCATGGGGACACTCTGGACCTTGCCACAACCTAGGGCTTCTAGGGCTTAAAAATGTAAACTCTGATGTCCACTTTTGTCATAACTTTACAAGCTTACCTTTTCCCCCCTCCCCAAACCCATAACTCAAACCTGCAAACCACATTAAGACATTTATTTGCTCTCTGTGTATCAATATCCTTTTGGTTTCATGTCAGTGTGAGAAATCTCAATTATTTAACCTATATAGTAAAGTAGGTAATCGTGCAGACTTTGGAGCAAGACTACCTGGGTTAGAAATCTGACTCCAACATTTATTAACTATGTGACCTGGAGAAGACACGTAACCTCTCTGACCCTTCATTTTCTTGTCTGTAAAATACAGTTTGTAAGGGCTCATTTTTATAAAGAAAATACATGTTCTATATTTGTTTATTTTTTTCTATAAAGGAAAAAATAGCAGATTACATATGAGATTTAAAGTGGACCAGGAAGATAAATGATTATATTATGAAAATATCAATTTTTCATAGGGATAAAATTCACCTTATAAATGTAAATTTCTTGTGTTTTAATCCTTTCTTCCATGTATTATTGAGATTCTATCCCAAGCATCTCAAACTTTTCTGTAAGAGTTAGTACAGACTTCATTGTTTTTAAAGGAACTAAACTAGTCACAACATCTTTTTTTCTTTATAGTCTGGTGTACGTATTTAAAAGTTTATCCCTACTCTTGCCTGTCATTGTGAGTTACCCTAGCCCACACCAAAGGAAAAGGAATGCAACCAGACTGAGATCATGACACCAAACATTGCCTTTCTTGACAGAGCACTGCCATCCCTCATGCATAGTCAAACAGGCAAACTGGCACAAGTTCAAGACCTCCAGAAAAACTTATCGTTTCTTCACTTTCTGTCACCTTAATTTAGCTGCTGGCAAAGAAAAGCTTAACCATTGCTTCAAGAAGGAGGGTAGGTAGGAGAACAAAGATGACTTGCAAAATATAACATCTGAAAAATTGCAGTTCCTTTGTGTAGATTTGCTTTTCTCTTCAGTGGGGAATTTCTCACAAGTTCTGCCTTTACCTGAAGTATCACAAGGCTACATGAAGCAACATTCTCCCCACTGCACCCACTCCCCATTTTGAAATGAGGCTGACAAAACAGCCTCATTTCAAAGAAGAGTAGGAGTGAGAATTATTGTTTCAAAAACAGCATAGTCTTGAAGTCTTCCTGGAAGAGAGTTCCTCCGTAATTTTCACACATCAAAGTGATAATGAAGCGAATTCAGACGTCCATTTTTTAACTCAACAGTTGAAACAAACTCATCTTAAATTCTTTAGCTGAACTACATTGAAGAGTTGGGAGATTAAATTATGCTTTACTGTATGACATTTTGTATCCCAAATCACAAGTTTCAGACTGAAGAGTCTGTTGCTCCTGATTTAACCCATATTGAGTTTGCATGTTGAGAAAGCATTGATTTTTGCTTAGAGAAGCAGGATAATCTGATTTCTTGACTCTACCAATATCTAGTTGTGAGCTACAAATTATATAATCTTTCTACTTCATATTCCTTCTCTTTATGAGATACAGACTAGTTTACTATCTTCCCCTTTCTCATAGGAATTGTGTAGCTTGGAATGTTGTCTTGCATAAGACTAAATATTGCTTCGTGATTCTTAATAGAAAACAAATTCATAAAAGCAGTTGAAGGAATAAGTTGTTCAGCTAAGAGGCCATATTAATTATTTAAAAATCTCACCAGAAATCATTACTATTTGATGTAAAGAGGACTGATGAATTTATAGAATTACAGGTTTTTTTATTTACAAATAGCTGTGGAAATATATTTGTGTTTTAATACAAAAATACATCAAGGATTAATATCAAATTTTGTATAATGTCATCACTTGTGAGAAAAGAAATCAGCAAGCATATCCATAAGATCTTCTCAAGAATTTTCTTCTATATGGACAGCAATTAAGCAATGACTTCACCTTTAGATTAAACATTTGTGAGATAAAATTTATAGAAGTTCATATATAAATAATTAATCATGAGCATTTTTGCTTAAGCGTTAGCCATGTTTAAAAGATTGTAGATGTGTGTGTATCTGAATGAGTGAGACAGCCTGTAAAACACAGAGTACAATAAATATAAGGAAATATTTCATAATTAAAAAATCATGAAAGAAATTACTTCAGAAGATGTGTGGCTCTTCCTCATATTTTTAGCTATGCATAAAGACTAAATCACATTCTAAAGACCATCAGAACAAGACATTTCTGGCTATCTCACTGATGTGTATTAGATTCTTATTCAATAAATTATTCTTAAATTTTAAACTCAATTTCCTTGTGCTATACTTATTCAGAATGGTAGCGAACTAGTCCATCTCATGTTACAGTCCATAATTATTTGATTCATGGCATCTGAGGTGCAAAGTGATCTCTTAGATCTGATTTTAAAACCATTAATATATATGTTTCATTTCTTAAATTTGTTATAGTTGATGACATCCCCCTCTATTTATAGAATCCCTCAGAAATTACTTTCTCTTAATGTGTACAATTTCACTGGGGAAGACCAAAGTTCTTGCGCTGATACCTTAACTGATAATAACAACATATTGCTAAAATAGTAACTTCTTTTAACGTGTTAAAGCTCATATTTGGTCACACTTTAGCACAACAAATTCTTCTCCAATTTGCATCTGTTTCTTTCTTCCTTCTGGTTGTGTACTGAAGTTATATCTCAGCTAAAATTATGCCATTTTGGTATTAAATAATTGTTTTTAAAATGTAGCTGGTTATATGGCACACACAATATCTTGGAGATATGACTGAACTAATAAAGAAGAGAACAACTAAAATTATTTTTTTAAAGCTCATAAAACACCCTTAGGGAACAGTAGCCAATTTCTGTCATGAAGTCTGGGCCAACTGGAAACCAGGCCTGTTTGATCACAAGATGAATACAGTCTTCCCTGTAAGTTTCATTCTCCAATCACTCATTCTCTTAGCTGTGATTGTCACTGAGAAACTCCTCATCAGTCCCTTTGACCACCTTCTCTGTCTGTCTTTTAAGTACATGAGAACTTCTGGACACTTATATAAGCTGAGAAAAACACATTTCCAGGCCCTCTTTCAGCTTATCACTCTGATCCAACAAGGATGTTTTGAGGATGCTGTGCCTCCAGTGCCTCCTTCCAGAGTCATACAAGGGAAGGGAGTCAACAGAATTATCTCTTCCTGCAGGGTTTAGCATACCTACTGGATGCTTGTAACACCTCTTTCTTTCCTCAAGACTGGTCTCCAAATGAGAAGGAAAAAGAAAGAGCCAAGAATGCTACAGCCTGCCTTTTTTTATTTATAACGCTTTCTTCACCATTCTTGGTAAGGTTATACTTTTATCCTTTTGTGTCATTCTTCATTCTTCTTTTAGTCCAGCCTCAGATTAAGCTTATTTAGCAGAAATTTGTGATTCTTACATAAATCATATATTATATATATTCTATATATATATATAAAAATATATAATTCAGGCTTGGTCCACAATATGTTATCTAGAAGCTTTAGGAAATTAGCAACTCTCTCTTGCCACAAACCTTGGTTTTCAAGCTAATGCCTTGTTCTAAGCTTAGCTACCTATCCCCCTTCCCTAAAGGGCCCTCCCAAATAAGGAGATTGAAGTTAGAAATAAAGTATAATTAAGAGGAAATCAAAACAGAATACTTCAATATTTTAAAAAATATTATCTTTGTCTTCTTCAACACAAGCTGTACAGGAAGACAATAATTTAAATTTTTGAACAGATTCACTCCATTCGGTTACTTCTGCTTACAGCCCCTGAAAACTTTCTTTTCTTTTTTGATATATTACACAATCTTTCACTTAAAAAAAAAACAGAACTTATGAAATAAATGATATATATAGAATAAACCTCTAATTAAGCACACAGGCAGACAGATGGACACACAGACAGACACACACACACACACAAATATTGATTTAAAAACCATAAATAAGCATTGTCACAAAAAACTACAATGTGTTTTATTATTAATGTAAAATACATTCACATCTTTGAATAGTTCGGTGAGAAATTACTAATTTTAACTCACAAGCCAATGCATATTTGCTAGTAGTTTCTGCGAGGAGCTCATTGTAGAGACAAGTTATAGGTGAAATGTCCTGAACCATTTTGGCCATGAGTAGAAGGTGATGTAATAATCATCTATTTTCATATATGATATAGGCAATCCAGTTGTGACCAGAATATCGTTGCTCTCAGGGAGTCACTGTCTTCTTCCTTCTAATTCTATAAATTCAAGCCCCATGCCGCACCTATATTTGCCATACGCACAAAACATTTTCTTACCCTAGACTCATTTGTAAATCACAGTGTCCTTAGAATCTTTTTGGACTCATTCAGAGTTTGGTCTTGAAATTACAGAAAATTGCTGCTTCAAACATACAGTACCCATGACTCTACTGCCACAGCTCTAGCTAATTTCCTGTCTTGCTGCAATGGCACAAATCTGTGCAAATGCTGGAAATTCAGAAACTTATCATTTAGTGAAAATAAGTTCTTTTACAGCCTTTCTTAAATAGTTTTTGCAAAATGCTTTCTGATTATATACACTTTCTTCTATGTGATTGAAAGGCTTGAAAGCATTTTTCATTCATTAAGTATTTATTGAGTGACTACTATAGGACATGCACTGTTTCCACTTTAGTCTAAGTTTGCCTGGAAGTCTTTCTTCAAATTTATATAAGCACAATTTCCTTCATTATTTTTTTTCTTGTTTTCTCCTACCAAACATCCTCCCTAGTATTGAGGATTTAAAGTACTTCCCTGGAAAACAAAATACTGCCTTCAGAAGATTATAGTTTTAGTATTTCGTATTCAGTAGTATAGAAAATATGTATTATTCTAAACTTGAAGAATATTTTGTAATCATTTAAATTCCCAGCATATTAAAAAATAGCTTTTCCTGTCTACTTTAATAAACCTACGACCTCTAATTTAAAAAGAAAAATCTTTTTCACTCAACAAAAACCACAGATCCTGATACTCTAGGATAGTATTAAGGATTAGGAAGAGACAGAAGGGCCAGCATCAAACATAGAATGTTAAGGCTCATAAGACAAGATCCATACTTACCTATGATGGGAAACAAATATATAAGCAAACAAAATATACAATTCATTAGGTTGTTTTTTAAATATTTCTCCTTCAAGTGGAGTCAGTAAACACATATTGGGGAAAACAACACAATATAATGAGATACGTAATTTCAATCAAAAGTTGTACAAGTAAATTCACACAAACACGCACACACACACACACACACACACACTCCATAAAGATAAATGCCCACATGTGCAATAGACAATTGTTGATTCAAAACAAACGTTTTGCTTCCACCCACAGGCAGAGGAAAGTAGTGACTCCAGTCATACTGCATTTCCTTTTCATCACCTGAAAAGCCATGTGTTTACGTTGAATACAGAATAGTGTGTTAGGCACGTTCAGCTATCACAATCACAAATTATTTAGGTTGACTGAGAAGATATACTACCTGTGATGACTGTTGATCTCAATACTACAGTAATTTCACAGTATAACTTACGTACATAATACATGCAAGTCTATAAATTCCTTTCCAAAGAGTTTACCCTGATCCCCAACTGTTACCCAGTTTAGCAGATATCAATGTGTAGCTTTGATGTGAAATGCCAATATGCCTGTGAAACTGCAGGTTTATATTATAAAGAGTTCTGACAACTTGCCCAAGTAGAAGAAGCTGTAAAACCAAGATTAGACAGTTGCGTTAAAAATAAGAATAGTCTTGATCACTTAGAGTAATTTGATCACATATGTAATATAGAACCTTAAATGGCAAGGGAGGTATAAAATGTATAACTTTTGCATTAAAACTGTCATGACTGTATGACAAAGTAACTCGATTTAAGATACAAAATAGATATTATCAAAATATACAGGGGTCTCCTGATTATTCATAGAAAAGAAAAAATAATTTAAAAATTTATATAATTCCTATGCATAATTTTCCCTAATGTTTCAGCATTGTTACTTAAAAAATCTTTTCAAATATCTAGATGTTGGTTAAGGAAAGAAGCAGCAAATAAATAGAGATACTGTGGTATAAACATGGAATATAACATATGAATAAATGTTTTAAATTATATATAGGAGAAAATCAATTTTATAACTCATAAGTACTTTTACAAATGTAACTACAACTGGTTTTAAATTAATATTTTTGATAATTTATAGTTTAGAAAGATTTTTCAAAGTTTCAACAAAAGCTTTGAAACTGACTGTGCTTATTGCTTTATTTGTCAAATTATGTCTCTCTCCAGCCAAACTAAATACAATCTAAGTACCCCTCTTCTCGCCAAGGCATACTGTATGTAAGCTTTCATTTTATCTCTTTTAGACTTTCTGTTTGTATACATTTTTGCTTATTTTTAGATTTTATAAGAAAAAAAGAATAAATATCAGCCACAAGGCTAGTTTCCCAAGTCTTCTGTTCCTGCCTGAAAAGTTGAAGAAACTATCAGTGAACTTTTCTTTCACTATCCCCATCATCCTGTAAGGAATAAATAATTTCCAGAGCATGAGTCACAACATTTTATGTTAGTTCAAACAATTCTATGACACCAACGAAACAGGTATTTAATAGCAAGATATTCGCTACTAAAAAACAGCACAATATTTGCATTAGTCTTACATAATTGAACTCTTAAAAGTAAGCAGCATGTGTACCCATTTCACTAAGCCATTCCACAGAAAGAAGAAGATATTTTTGGCCAAAAATGTAATTTCTTGAATACTTGATAAAGAAAATATCTTTTGTTCTTTTTAAATTAAAGCTAGTCCATTATTCAGAGCTAGGAAATGTTCAGAGTATGGAAATGGAAAATATTTTGAATGACTGGTTAATTGTTAAGGCATAAAGATAAGATTCAGTTACAAAGATAATATTGGTAACACAAGCAGCAATGTGTATTGTGTAATAATTAAGTGTTCAGTCATTTTCTATGTTCTTTGTATCAGTTAACTCATTTAGGTTTCTGGCTGATTAATATCCACAGATGTAGAAACTGGACCACAAATAAGTCAGGTAACTTGTCCAAGTTCATATTAGTGTTACAACTGACTTCAGCTTGGAATTTTAACCAATGGGTTATAGGACGACTCTAAATTTTACATGTGGAAGAAAATGAAACCTGCCCCTCTGAGACTAATGTGCATAATGTCCAAACTCCCCATTTATGTAATAAATGAAGTAAAAGTATTGTGACATGTGATTATAATAAATTTCTGGATAGTAATAATAACATCCACACATTTGATCAAAATGAATCAATTGTATGTAAAAAGCAAACCTTGAATGTTTTCTAGGGACCTTCACTACAAGGGAATAAGAAGTGGAGATGTGTGGATCTATATAGATCCCATGAAACAGAGAAAAATGGGATGCAATGAATTCACTGGTGGACAAGGAGTGTGATTATGTATTCCAAATTTCATGTCAAGGTTCCCATGTGGCCCACACTATTATTTCTAACCTAAAATGTCTGAGATTGCCTGGTGAGCTTGTAGATTGATACCTGTTAGGTATCAAGAGCTAAAATTTCACACACATCAAGATATTTGCTATTAAAAAACAGTAAAATATTTGCATTAGTCTTACATAATTGAACGAATCAGTTCGATTTTTCTGAATCAGGAACACTGATAAAGCAAATTGTTTACCTGCTAGACTATGTTTGGAAAACTTGCCAGTTTGAGTTTTATAGAGTTTGATTTTTGGCCAAGTGCAATTCAGAGACTTTCTATTGAGTCTTTCTAAAATGTTACTTAAGTCCTCATGTAATTTTCCCACTTACATAAATAAATTACCCCCTACCAAATAATGTTACATACAATATAAAACTCTTCAAAATCTTATCCAGACACTTGGCATTGTCCCTAAAAACTTCTCGTTTAAAGAGTGAAGTTGTGGTAATTGGCGATGGATTCTCACTATTCATACACTAGTACTATAGTTTAACTGTGTCCCACAAAAATCATGTGTTGAAAACTTAATCTCATTCAACAGTGTTGAAAAATGAGGCCTAATGAGAGATGATTAGGCCATGAGGGATCTGCCCTCATGAAAAGATTAATGTCATTCCTGCATTATTGTAGGACTGACTTCCTCATCTCAGCAGTGGAGTGAGCTTGGCCCTCTGTTTTCTCTCTCCCTTTCTCTCTTCTTCTGCCATGAGATGACAAAACAATGCTCTCACAAGATGCCTGCCCATTGATCTTGAACTTTCCAGCCTCCAGAGTCCTGAGTCAATAACTTTCTGTTCATTATAAATTACCCAGCCTTGGACATTCTGTTATCACAGCATGAAACAAACGAGGGCGAATAGTGTATGTTTTATCTACCCTCCTAAAGTCTTCAGTCCTCAACCAGCTTCTATTTTCTTGTCATCCAAGAAATCTAAATTTTGCAGACCTTGGAATGAACTGTTATTTGGCCTTAGGCAAATTATTTAACATTTCAGAGTATTAGCTTTCTTATCTGTAATATATATATATGTATCTCTCATCCATAATATATATATAGTGTGTATATGTGTATATGTGTGTATAATGCAAATATACATATGTATATTTGATAAATACTCATCGGTTGTGATATAAATGTATAGACACATCGATTAAATATATAAAAATACATGCGGCACATTTTTATTTATACAAAATATACGTGGTGTGTATATATGTATATGTGTGTGTGTGTGTGTGTGTGTATAAACACATAGAAAGTTTTGTTATAAGTGAACTGCCTGATATATAAACTGATAAATATTAGACACTTATGAATGCTTTTAATTGAATTAAGAAGCAACCAAAAATAGAAAAAAAGAAAAAGCATGCTGCATATCAGCATTCTATTCTGAATACTGGGTTTGCTCCTTAAGAATATTACTGTGTTATTTTTTAATAATGGTGTCCAAGGCTGGCAGACACTTACACATAGTAAAGAGGAAAATTCTCATCTTTCCATGAAGACATTTTTAAAAAGCAAATAATAAAATGCATTTTATATTTTCGTTAGACTGTTCTAATTCTCATGGATATGATATTGAGCTGATCCAAATGTAATAACATGAAAAATCAATGAGATCTTCAAGGTCAGAAACCACATGTATCAGAAGAAAGTGATATTAATATTGATACAACTCTCAGGATTCAATATCTTAATATGCAAATTAACTTAAATTGTATCAGATTTCATTAACTGATTCTAAAAATTAATATGAGTATTATTTGTTTTAACATGTTTGTAGCTTCACAGACTAGAAAAAAAAGTTTAGTGCAAGAAGT
Source organism: Homo sapiens (assembly GCF_000001405.40). Lineage (NCBI taxonomy): Eukaryota > Metazoa > Chordata > Mammalia > Primates > Hominidae > Homo > Homo sapiens. Next base: position 95,137,757 of record NC_000006.12, read on the forward strand.
TTTATGTTGCCCTTCCCTTTACCTGGAGCACTCTTACTCCACAGATCCCCTTGCTTCGTCTCTTGCTATTCAGGCCTTTGTACACTTGTCACCCCTCAAGGAGCACCCTGGCTAAAATTTCACACCCATCAGTCTTTTTTTGCTGGTAACTTTTCATTACCTGATATTATATCACGTCTTTTATTTTACTTGTGTATAGTACCAATCCCTGGGAAAATATAGGGAATAGACCTTTTTCTCTTTGGCCCACTGTCAAGAGAGGAGTTAGGAGACAACCTAGTACATACCAGATTCTTAACAAGAAATAGATCTGATTATATCATCTTAGATTATTTTTGACTCTTCTTAAATTTTATATAAATATAAATATACAGTATGTACTCTCTGAAAGCTTACCTTTTTCACTCAGCCAAACATTTTTTGGGGGGATTAATAATGGCCCTGACTATCACAGTATTTTGTTCATTTTATTATTGAGTAGTATGCAATTCTAGGAATACACCACAATATTATACATCATCATGTCTTTAGATGGTGAATATTTGGGTTGTTTTCACCTTTTGGTTATTATTAATAAAGCTGTTAGAAATATAAGTATTGCCGCAGATATATTTTTTATTAATCATGTGGAATTGCTGTCAATGTTAAATGGGTGCTAAATTTTATAAGAAACTGCCAAACTGTTTTCCAAAGTGCTTTTAATATCTTATACCTCCACCAGTGACATATGAAAATTTCATTTCCCCCGGATCCAAGGAATCAACTGGTATTGTCTATCTTTTTAACTTGGGGCATTCTAATGTGTGAATGAAATACTGTTTTGGATCATATTGTGGTTAAAGTTTGTACATCCTAATGCCAAATATTTACCTGTATTATTAGCCATCATATATCTTCTTTCAGGCAATTATTAAATAACAAGTTTACTTTTCTTATTTGAGTGCGTTGTCTTCTAATTATGAGATTATATGATATTTGAATGTGTTTTAGACACATAGTTCTTGTCAGATAAATGTATTGAGAATGTTTTTCTCTGCCTGTGTTTTATTTCTCCATTTTTGAGGGATTTGTTTCAAAGAACCAAAAGGTTTAAATATTTTTGAAGACCAGATTAAAAATTTTTATTTTATAGTCCTTGTATTTTGAGTATTATCTAAAGCTATGGACCTGCCTCAAGGATATGAAGTTTTGTTTTTATTCCCTATGTTTTTCATTTTACATTTAGATATATGTTCCATTTTGAATTTAATTTCCTCTTTTCGAATGTCTCAGTTTTTAAATTTAGTTAATTGTTATTTAAACATTTTTTATTTTCAGGTATAAGCATATAAAAATACAAATTTCAATGCAAGCACCACTTTAACTGTATCCTGCAAATTTGGGTATTTAGTGCATTCATTTCTTTTCAGTTCAATTGTTTTTAATATTTCCTTTGAGATTTTTTATTTGACTGAAGGAGTACTTACCAGTGTATTATTTAATTTGCAGATATTTCAAAATTTTCTTATTTTACAATTTATTTTCACTTTCCCCAAAGAATAAACTCTGTAATATTTATTGTTTTTGAGATTTACATGCCCTAGCACATAATCTATCTTGGTGAATCTTCTTTGTAGACTTGAAAAGGATATGTATTGTTTAACTGTTGGATGTAGTAGTGGTAATATCAGTTAGGTCAAGCTGATTACAGTATTGCACAATTAATGCAACAAGTTAACAAAACTATAATTCTGTTTACTGAATGTCTCTGGTGTTATTACCTTTATGTATTTAACATATAATATGTATACATATACACATTATAACCACTATGTACAATATAGTTTTTCTTTAAATGTCTAGTGTTCTTTAAAGGAATTGGAAGAAGACAAAAAATATTTTTATTTTTACCAACTTATTTACCATTTCTAATCCTATAGATTTCAATTTCCAACTAATTTTCTTTCAGTCCGAAGTAAATTTTATTATTTGTAGTTGTGGAGGCCTAATAATTAATTCAACATTAATTTATCTGAAAAACTACTTATTTTACCCTGGACATATAAATCTGTAATGACAGGTTTTTTTTTTTTTTTCAGCACTTTAAAGGTATCCTCCCATTTCCATTTATCTTCTACTGTATGTGATATACACTGAGTTGTCATTTAAATTTTTGTTTCCCTTGATATAATATGCTCTTTTTTTCCTAGCTGCTTTCAAAATTTTCCTTTGATCTTTTCTTTTAAACTGATGAATATGAAGTGTTTAGATATAAATTTCTTTATATTTAACCTGCTCAAGGCTCACCGAACATCTTGAATCTGTACATCAACGTTCTTCATCAAATTTGGGAAACTTTGGCCATTTTTTCTTCAAATGTTTTTCTGCTTCATTGTTACTTTCTTCTCTGTGTGATGCTTTAATTACACATATGTTCAACTTTTTAGTATTGTTCTGCAGGTCCCTCAGGATCTTTCCCTTGGTATTGAATAATTTTGTCTCCGTTTTTCAAATTAGATTGTTTTTACTAGACTATCTTTAAGTTCATTGACCTTTCTTTCTACCATTGCTATACTATTCTTAAGCTCATCCAGTGATTTTTTTTATTTCAATTATATGTTTTAGCTCTACAATTTTCACTTGGTCCTTTTTATACATTCCATTTATTTGCTATATTTCCCTGTTTACTCATTACATCCACATTTTCCTATGAATATTTCAACATATTTTCCCCTCGATATATTTTGGTAGTAGATTTAAAGACTGCTAATTCCAATATTGAGCTCTCTTCAGAGTCAATTTCTATTTTTTTCTTGTTCATGGGTAACATTTTCTTTTCTTTCTTTCTTTTTTTGGACACTACACTTAACACTGACTGTACACTTAACATTGCCAATGTATTTTGTGAAGACCATAGATTTTAACTTGTTAAGGCTTATTTTCAACATATCATTAGGGTGGACCTGTGGAAAACATAAGGTATTTTTTAAGCCTCTAACTGAATAGGAAACTGTTGAAGGCCGAAAGAGTGAGGGTCGTGATTAACTCAGCATACCACTGGAGGCTATATGAGTAAACAGCAAACTGTTCTCATGAAAGCAGGTTGTTAGCAAACTGACAAACTGTGGCTGCCAGCCAGAAGGAATCCTGAGGGCAGTCACGACCCAGGCACTAGTGTTTCTTCTGATTAGGCACATCTGAAGCCTGTTAGCCATAATATGAACCTGTGATCAATCAAGCAGCTGACCAGTTGTTAGCTACTCCTGCCTGCTTTTTCTACCCAATAAATACAAAGGGCTGTGGAAGCTCAGTGTGGTGGCTGCCTTTGCTCACTAGAAGCAGTGAGCTCTCTTCTTCTTCCCCTGGCCCCTTCCTTTAAAACAGTTTCTTTTGTCTTTAAGTTTTCATTTCTATGTTCGGTTTGCCCCTTCCTTCAGTCTTGTAATGACAGTCTCAAGTAGTAACAGTAGTAACTGTTGTAATGATGGTTTCAAGTAGTAACAATAATAACTGTCACAGTGACAGTCTCAAGTAGTAACTGTGGCAGTCTGCCACAGGAAACACTTTCTGAATCTGAAGTTCTACCAGGTGAACTTTATTAGGCTTGATTTTAGGAATTTTTATAATTACTCTAGAGTAGACTATAAGAAACTGTTCTTACTCCTAATGCATAATCTTTTTATTGTTTTAGCTGAATACCTGGGATATCAACTCTCCTCTATTGCTGGGCCAGAATTCCAGTATCTTTCAGCATTGCTCAAACCCTAGTGTTTCTCTTCTGTTCTCAACTCTGTAATAATTGAGTCCCTACAAGAATATGTGCAGCTCAGCATGCAGTGAAGGCCTCAAAAACAAATTCTTCATAATTCTACTCTTCTTGACTCCCTTTGTCTGGTGACTTGAATATCTTATATATCTTATATTCTGGCTGCTTCAGAAGCCACAAGCTCTATTCTGTTTTCTCAGCTCAGAGGGATCACAGCACTTTTCTTGTGTTCAAGCTCTCTGAAACAAACTGGAACATAGTCCAAAAGTGCAGAAGTGTGGAGGCTGTATAGCCCATCTTGAGAGGGGATTGCAGGGTTCCCTTTTTTCAGGGATTGCAATCTCAAGTTGCCTATGATTCTATGCCTGAAACTAGTTGTCTTACGTATTTTGTTCAGATTTTATTTTATTTTATTTGGTGAAAGCACTAGCCCCACACCAGTGATCCTACAATCTCTGACAGATGAAGCTTCCACTAAACATTTTAATTTCCCAAAAAAATAATTTTTCATTGTATAATACTAAATATGAATGGAATGGTCTAATAAACATCATGTAATACTTGATTTATGTATGTATTTATAAAATAAGCATAACATTTTAATAGTTGATTAAACATCCGCTTTTAAAAATAAAATAATTTAGTTCAGTTTAAATTAGAATATTTTATAAGGTAGTTACTTGTACTAATGTCATTTAGATAAAATATTAAAGTTACTACTCAGAATTATTATTGAAATTATAGCAGTAATAATCAAATAATATCTTCTACAAATAGTGACGTAATTAAAAATCATTTTGTTGTGTATGGTTTATAGAGACACATACATATACTAATTCTCAGCTATATATGTAATTTCCAGTATTATACTCAAAACACTAGATTTTAAAAATGTTTTTAGCTTGCTCATTATCTACTATAGTAAAGTGTTAATTCTTTGTTATTTTTTCCAAAGGGAACAATTTAACTTAAGTATGTGATGTAATAACATAAAGGAGATATCAAAAAGCCATCATAAAATCAATTTACAATAACTGTTACATTATTTTAATATCATATCCTTCTAAACTTCAACAGTTAATTATTTAAATAACCACTAAAGTATTTTCTTAATTACATAAAAAGTTGAACAGTTGGTATTACCCTTATTTGTCAAATTAAAAATACAGTAAGTAGAATATAACATTTAGAAAGTTCTGTCACATAATTTATAGACATGTTCTCAATTTAATATTAATTTTTCTAACAAATATTTAGTAAACACTCCCTGTGCATTTAGACATGAGTAACTTGGGATAGAGTAGTCAGCAATATGGGCATTATCTCCTTCATGAGAACTGATGGCTTAGCAAGATAATCACTTCCCTTGAATTATTAAAATGAGTCAGACAGGCATTGTTTGAATATATACACACCTACATGTGCACACATAAATACATACATACATATGCATGTATATTTTCATCTAATTCTCATGCTAACTCTATAAATTCCTTGTTATCACCATTTTATTGATCATGTTATAGAGGCATATTTTACCAGTGTGTCATATTACAACACTGTTTATTCTTGTTGTTTTTGGTGGTGGTGGTGGTGCTTGTTTTTGGTCACAAATTCTTGGCTTTCATAAATCACCATAGAACACTCCTTACTATGAAATTCTTTGGCATGAAAGGCATGCACTGTCAAGATGGTATAAGGGAAACTACAGAGAACAAGGAAATTGCATTGGATTTAATCGACCTGACCCTATAATACTGCCTGTCTTTATAACATATCTTATCTTTCCATTTTTAATAGCCAGTTACTTTTTTGATAGTTACTACATTTTCTCTGCATTTAATATTAAGCTATCAGTGAAAACTTTAGCTAAAAGTGAATCTGTATCATTTTCTTTTTCTTCACTCTATATCTACATTAAGCAAAAAATGAACTCAGGTAAAGGTAGGTATAGTCATGTTCTCAGTCCTCTGTCTTCCTCCCTCCCCATCTGCAGTCTCAGGCATCTTCTTTCTATAACTGTCATCCATGCTTCTGCCAGCCACCTGGCATCTGGTGTGATCTGTGTTTGTGTAGATAACGTCAGTATAATTCGGTCCAAGGTCTTTCAGACAACAGCTCTTAACTAGCTCAATCTCTTTGACCTGTGTTCTAGCAGAATAAAGGCCATGCCCCCTTGAAGCTTCCAATGAGAAATAGTTATCTATTAGTTGGTGAATCACTTTCAACCACCTTACTTCCATCTGTGGAAAGCCTATGGTTTTCAGTTGCTTATTTGTTAACTTGATGTTTGACAGGAAAGCAAAGTAGAATGATAGGAATTGCAGATATTTTCCTGCTTATGTGCATATCACTCTCTCACACACACAGACGTAAGCCTGGGTGCATGTGTATCTACTCCCCAGTGCCTGTAGTGAATCCACGTTTGTTGAAGCCAACAATTATCCATGCAGCTCTCCTACCATGTGCTCCCAGTCACCAGCTGTCTCACTTTCTAGCACGCTCAGGCTTTTGCTCTTCCCTGAAGCAGTTCACATGGGCACTATGATCCTCTCAGCTTAGTCTCTGATTCTAATCCCTATCCTATGGTCTTGGAGCTTTTTGCTTCTTCAGCTATTTCCAGTTTGAAATTCATATTTATTACTGGCTCCTCCTTCCAGAAGTGTTGGCTGTAAGGAAAAGGATTAAAATGAGTCACAAACTATTTTCATTTATTCTACTAAACCTTTTCCTAATAGCCAAGGCACACTGATATTATACAAGCACAGTGATACCCACAAGTGGAAGTCTTTTGAATTTTTATATTAATCGACACTATATGAATGAGATTAACTTGTTCATACCTAAGCTTAGATACAGCATATTACTTAGGAGAGCAAGATTCAGGATTCATTCTGATTTGGATCAAGTAATTTTCATTTATTCCATAGGTAGTATCGCTCCTAGCCTCATCACTCTAAGATAAGATACTTCTTTCTCATAATGTCTCTATTCACTGACTCAGTAATAATTCTTTTGGTAATATGCTCCTTTTTTTAATAACTTCTGGGTTTGCCTGCCTCACATTACAAGAATGGCTTGTCATCCAATATACTTTTTTAATATTCTTAGTACACATAATAATAACATGACACCTAAAAATAATTAAGAGAAGCTGGCACTTAAATTGTGATTACATTTTATTTCAAAGGCCATCCTACATTCTATTTAAGACAGAAAGAAAAGCATATATATTTAACACCTTAAATTTAGAGTTTATAAAGTAGTGCTAAAAATGCAAAAAAAAAAAAAAAAAACACCCACAAATTTCCCATTGTGTGAAGAAACAATCAAAATGCTGTGTGTCATCCCCTGATGGTGATCTTGCCTTCGTCTCAGTGGGTAACTAAATAATGCTTTAATAACAGTTAACTTACAAAGTGGTTGCAGTGGATATGCTTGGAGGACTCCTTTTACTTCTTACTGCTCTCTATTGACCTAATAATTAGTTTTTAACAAGAAAAGGTCAGCTTCTCCTTCCATTTCTGTCTAAGGTTCTACTCATTGATTCATAGTTTTCCTTTTCTTTTAACCTTATATATGTTTCTTGCCCACATCACCCCCAGTGAAAAGAGCCCAAGCCAATGATGTCTACTTGCAGGTTCATTTGGGTTAAAAGAGAGTCTGGGTAAGAACAGGCACAGTTTAATCTATTTATCATAAAAGCTAGAAAATTCAAATGGCATGTCTTGCTGAGGGCAGGTCAGTCATAGCTGTAAAGTAAAAACGATAGCACACTTAAACTTGTAAATAAAGACTCTCCTATGGATTTCTAGACATCTTGATTCACTTGTTTCAACTCTAAAATATATTTTTTCTTTTCACAATATCTTCAGGTCTAGATTTTTATTGCAGCAGTTTTCTAATAAATCCATCCCACAAACAACAATAACAACAACAAATCTCTCAAGATTCAGCCAAGTTTCTTCAGGGCTCTGCCACTTGGAACATAATTCTGTTGAAATGTAACCACTGCTTGCTATCCTAATGTCCACAGGAACAAGACCTTACTCTCAGAGAAACGGTAAATATAGTCCCTTGTTCATAATACCCACTTCAAACCAAGAACCAGAAGGTCAACCCATTACAGTAAGTTTGTTTTAATGTGTTCAGTCCTGGGAGCTGAGCCACTTTTCTTCCCAAGTCCACAGTCCAGAGTTTCAGAGAACAAGGGGAAAACCAAAAAGCTCCTGTCACCTTTTGCAATGAATATCTTTCCCTAGTTCAATAATAAATCTATTGTAGAATGAGAAGTGAGAAAATGAGAACCTAAGGAAGAAAATAGATCCAGTTACTCAAGTCATTTGGAAGGTAATATTATGTTGGTCATATGTCCATGATGAAGATGAAGATAGGAAATTACATCTGGTTACTTCAAAAAAAAAGGGATATTTTAATGAGAAACAAAACTCTTTACTCAGGGAGTGGCCTATGGGTGCATGTAGTAGCCTCCCTTTACTGCCGTTTACTCAGAAGAAACAAAGAAGTAGCTGCTTACATCTGACAGCTACATCACATGTGGAAATCCAGACTTCCAGATAAAGTGACAGACAAAAATGCAATGATAATAATGCTATAAGACATCATGGAAATTGATTAATAAAGAGGAACATGTAAAGAAGTAGGGGGTAAGATTCAATAACAAACAATTATGAAGCAAAATAACAATCAGAAAAGACTCTTCTTTAAGAACATGGTAATAATAATACTGGGATACAAAACAGCAGTTTGAAAGGTAGACTGGAGGTACATACATCCTTTAATGGTTCCAGAGGACAGAAACAAATTCTTTTAAGGCTCCCTGAAGGTGAGAAGGAGAGACAAATATAATAAGCCCTTGAAACGAAATTTGCAAATAATATAGATTACTAGAGTCTTAAAGTGAGCAACGTTAATTTAGACCCTGTGACTTAGGCAAGTTATTTTTTAAAATATAGTTCCCTCATTTTCCTTATGTATGAAAGATGATAATAATTACATTGATCCAATATTTTTTAAGTGTTAACTGAATTAATCCTTGTAAGTATGTAGAAAATAATAGCCAGTGTTGACTACTGGAGCTTTATCTACTATTATATATGTCTATGAGTTGCTAAGTTGCAGAAAATTTAATGTAATACTAGTTCATAATGTGTTGTTGTTAAACTATGCTTTAATAGTATTCTGAGTTTTTTGTAACTTAGAATGAATATTGATGCAAATTTCTGAAATTGAAAGTCTAAAATATTGATAGATTTCTGGACACTGATAAAACTATGAACTTCATTATACTAGACAGACTTTTTTTCAGGAATTTATAATAATCCACTTTAATAAAATAACACTTTTATGGAATGGAATACTAGAATGGTCTACTCGAACTGATAGTGATTTTTTTTATCTAATCGGGTGTCCACAAGAAGCCAAATTTTAACCAGAAGTACGGTGACCCTAGAACTGGAACAAGGTGGGCAATTGTCTGATTCTAATGTATGAAGGTAGTCCAGAATTCTCTTAATGTTCTCCTTAACCTGACTAACCTTTAGATAGGCTTTTTCCTGATTATAGTCTGATGGAGCTCAGAAAATGATACTAAAAAAATATGCTACCTTGGAATACTGAGTATTTTAAGCTGCAGGAAATTGGGAAAACCACAGAAGCAGGAAGATCACTCTTTGACTTCCTCTGGCCTTTCTCTCCTGAAGCAGGTTGTAAAATAATTATCTGACCTACCTTCCCTGAAAGTAGGTCATAGGATGCTCAGTAGAGTGATCCTTCTCTATACTGGAGGCCTAGAAGAACCTGAACAAGCAGGTGTTGCTAAATTCCCCCCAGTTTCTTACTGTTAGATGATGCCCTTTTACTCCAAGTATATTTCTGCCCTGAATATCTATAAAAATACACAATTTCTCTGGGTTTTTAAGTCTTCATTTCTGAAGGCTGCCATGTCACATAAATTTTATATTAAATAAATTTAAATACATTTATATGTTTTTCTCTTGTTAATCTGTGTTAATTTTATATTTTATAATCAGGAAAGGAGAAAAAGAGACTTTATTTCACGTGAAGTGCTACAGCCTGTAAGGTGGCCATCTCACAGGCTGAGAAGCAGGCTTCCAGCCAGGACCAGAGACAGGTACTTGGAAGGAGGAGAGGTTGGGGCAAGAGTTTTATTCTGAACACACATATTCAGTGGTTACAAAAGGAGCTATGATTATTAATGAAAATGGTCCTGACACATGGGTATTGAACAAACATGCATGTAACATATGACCTATGTTTATTTTGGGATGGAGACAACATTTAAGTGTATTAGTTTTTGGTGTTATACACCAATTGGTATTTTCAGGACACAAATTCATGCAAGCGCACTATCTCTGTAAACCAGCCAGAATCAGTCCATAGTCTCCAGTCTTCTTACCAAAAGAAAGCTATTGAAATCCATCTCTTGACAATCAAAGCTGTAGTTACATGCAGTTGTGGAACAGGAACTAGGGGTCAGTTAGTAACCGGTGCAGCTACACATTGTTTTAATATTGCTTATATTGAGGCCAATCCTTGCTTAGCTGCTAGAGAAAAAGAAAAATCTTACGGCTGTTAGAGAATCATTTATCTTTAAGTGTAGGGATGCATGACTTAGCCCTGGCCAGGCATCGCCTTAGGTCCTACTTATAATTTGGTATCTTATTGCCACAAAAAGTCTTTTCTGTCAGTCTTAGGATCTCTATTTTAACATTAACACTGGTCAGTTGTGTTGTTTGTAAACCACAAAAAGGAGGGGATATAACAAGGTGTGTCTGACCTCCTATCCCATCATGACCAGGAACTCAGCTTTAAGGTTTTTCTGGGGTCCCCTGGCCCACAAGGGGATCCATTCAGTTGGTGAGGGTGGTAGAATTTTATTTTTAGCTTATATCTGTCTTTTATTTTAGAGTTTGCATTTATTCCTTTGAGATTCAGACCTTCTATCGTTCATAAATGTCTCTCTCAGGGACCTGAGAGTCATTGCTTTGAAATATAACCATCAGAAAGATAAAGTCCCCAGTCTCAGTCATCCATTCTCTGTGGAAGAAAAGGAGCTTAACTTTTATAATGGCTAATTAGCAAACACAGGTAGTCTAACACATCGACCAATCTCCCCACTAATGTCTTCAAGGAATTTTCCGCTAGCTCACCACGGCACTTAAAAACTCTCCCACCTTTTGTTTCAGTAGACCTGAGTTCAATTTTTCTTTGCTATTACACTAGTCTTGGTCCCTGTTGCAATAGTCTTCAATAGTCTGCTTTTTTCTGTTTAACCCATACAGTGCAATTTTTCTTTTATGGGGCTGAAAGCGTGATCTCTGCAACTTCATGTGCTGAGGCCCCCGATTTTCTTGGTTATGTTATTCAATACGGCCAACCTCTGATTCTTTTTATTTTTTATATTTTCTCCTCTACCTCAGTGCTTCTCAACTCTGGTTTGAAGCATCTGAGGGTGTTTAAGATACCACAGTCTGATTTAATTCATCTAAAGTAGGGTGGGGAATTGGTACTGTTTTAAATTGTCCCAGATTGCAGTAATTGACAATATTGAGAAGTACTTTTCCAGAGGATAAAACTTTTCTTTTCATGCAATGCTTCTACACACATGTAAAGTAAAATTGATCAGATACTCATCTATCAAATTAAAATTGCCTGCCATTCCTGACATTCCTGGCCCTTATCTACATTGTCGATTCAGGGCTTACTGAACTCTTCAATCACATATTTATTGACATCCTCTATTCGTTTCTATTATAGAAAACAGAGACCATACTTTATAGCCATGTATTACTAGTTTAGTGCTCAAAGACAACATTAAATTCTGAATGGGGGAAAGGAGAGGACCCAATTTATCTCCCTTTTTCATTTGGCTAATTTCACTGAGTTTATCCAATCTCATCTGAAGTGTGATATTCTCCAGAACTACTTCCTTTACCCTCATGCAAGTGTGTTGCATAGATGGCAGCACTGTCATCACATGAGAGCTTGATAGACATGCAGAAGACACACCCACCATGTACTAAATCAGAATGAGCATTTCACAAAATACCCAGGTGATTTCTATGCGTATCAACCTTTGGGGTATATGGATTAACTATTAATATAGTAATAGTTTTTGACCACTCATGTGCATGTCCACAGCAAGCTGGATTTCTTGCATTAATTTTTGTATTACTAGTGTCTAGTACAACCCTGGTATTTAGTAGGTATCTAATATATACATTGAAGACATTACTGTTTATTTATTCATAGTCTTCTTTATTATTCTTCTTAAATTCTCTTTCTTTTTTTTGACAGAGTCTCACTCTGTCGGAGGCTGGAGTGTAGTGGCACCATGTCAGCTCACTGCAACCTCTGTCTCCTGGGTTCAAGCAATTCTCCTGCCTCAGCCTTCCGAGTGGCTGGGATTACAGGCGCCCACCACCACCCTTGGCTAGTTTTTATATTTTTAGTAGAGATGGGGTTTCACCATGTTGGCCAGGCTGGTCTCAAACTCCTGACCTCAGGTGATCCACCCTCCTTGGCCTCCCAAAGTGCTGGAATTACAGGCATAAGTCACCGTGCCCGGCCAATTCTCTTTCTTTTCCAATTCCATATTTAGAATCATTTAAATAATATTCTATGTTATTATATTAGTTGATGTTAATGACAGAATGTTTATGAAATAGAGAAATAAAAAATAAAGGTTTACTATCATCCTGAAACAACTTGGCATTTCTAAAACCACTACTCCATTTATTTTATATGTATGTGTATAGTTGGGATCATGATGCAAATATAATTTTGAGTACTAGTTTTTCATTCAACGTTATACAAGCAACTTTTCCTTGCCACTACTTACTTTTCAAAGCCATTTTTTAATGTCTACTTACTAATTTTAATGGGCATTTTAGGTCATTTACATTAGGTCTCAGCCCATCTCTCTAGCTTTAGCTCCAGACATGGGTCAAATATATATTCACCATCTGCTCTAACCAAACTAGACTTATTGCTGTCTTTACTTTTCTTACAGTTTCATTTTTTTCTGAAGAAATTCCTTTCCCTGAATGCATTTCCTACATAACTCAGCAGATTAAAATTCTACCATAGTATATGATTTTTCAAATGCAAACTTCACTGTAAAACTTGTTCATGTACATCTCAAAAGATGTCTCTCCATTCTCCAAACTCCTATCACTTGCTGTTTTTATTTTCTATTACTCTTATGGTGTTTACCACACATACCATAATATTGTGTTCTAGTTATATCTACCAGTCTATCCACACAGAAATTCAAGAGCCATGCCCTAATATTTAATTATATTATGATACAATTATATTATATATACCATTATTGTAGTATGATGCAATTATATTATAAATATTATTGTATTTATATGTGTAATATTTATAGGACTTGCTCATAGAAGATAGTAAGAACAATTGTTGAATTATCTTCAATACAGAATCTTTTATTACTTTCCAAGACCTCTTGCCATATCTTCCGTGCAGTTGCTTACCTCAATAACCTTGAATTCCTCATTGATTCATCTCTTACCTTCATGCACAAGATACTGACCATCAGCAAGTAGTGTTTTAGAGCATTTTCACTACCTCCATCCTGACACTCTAGTCCAAGGCAACTTTGGATTTACGCATTGACTCCCAGTTTCCACTCTTGTCCTGACAATATTTCCTTCATATGAGTCACCTTTTAAAAGACTAATCAGTGCTGTAACGCTCCTGCTTAGAACTCACCAAAGGCCTCTTATCAGAGTCAAAATAACAGTCTATTTTCTAAACATAACTTACTGAGCCCTGTCTGATTTGGGCACAGTGTGTACTTTCTGAAACATTCCTAAACTTATCCTAAACTTATTCTACAATAGCCATACTCAAACAGGAACTCCACCCTCATTTTTAGTCTTTGAATTTGCTTTCTTTTGTGTGGAATACTCTTCTTTTAGATATTTACATGGTTCCCACTATCACATCTTCTGGATACCTGATCAGCTGGTGCTTTTGACACTTCCGTGTCCTCAACATTTCCTCTAACATTTCTCCTCTCTCATTATCCCTTTTAAGTGTTTTGATAACACTTATAATAATTTGAAATTGCATGACATGTATTTGTTTATTGTCTGTCTTCTTCACTAGAATGTAAGCACCTTGAGGCTAGGGGCCTGTTGTCTCTTATTCACTACCTGGAACAGTTTTCGGCACATAGTCTATCAATAAATATGGAATAAATGGAAGAGTAATATGACAATTGTTACATGTTTTTATCCTATGTTAATCTATTTTTTCTGATACCCAGAACTATAATTGGAAATGGTGAGGATAAGCAAGTGTAAACCCTCTATATCTGAGGTTTCTACATCTTCAGATTGAAACAAATATGGATTTTTAAAAAGCTAAAAATAAAATAAAAGTAACATATCAATAAAAGTGCACTATAGCATCTATTTACAAATTACTTATATTGTATTGCATACTGTAATCTAGAGATAATTTAGAATATATGGGAGGAGGTGCATATGTTATATCCAAATACTACACTGTTTTCTATAAGAAACTTGAATATCCGTGGATGTTGGTATTGGCAGGAAGAGTCTTGAAACCAATTGACACTGGATACCAAGGGACAATTATGTATAAAAAATTGTGGTAAATTCTTATTCTCCTTTTAGTTTGACTGTATAAGCACAAAGCCACAATGACAATAAGAACCAGGGAGTAACCAAGGATTAAATTTGCATATAACATCCAAGAATCCTAAGGACTAGGAAAATAATTTCTCTTTTTCCTTCCCTCCCCACTTTCCCCCAACTGTTTCCATTATCTCTTGACTAGGAACATGAGCTTTTTATTAGGGCAAATTATAAGGTAGAGGTACTATTATAGAGACTCATCATAGCAAGTCCAAGCTTTTGTGTTTTAAGGGAAGAACATCTGAGGACAGAGCACCTAGGAGTAAAGATAAATGTTGAAGATTTGCAGGCCTGGCAGAATCTTCTACATATATTTCTATGACTCATTATTTTCATAAAATATTTTATTTTATCATGTTCAGAATACAAAAACTTTAGTGTTCAAAAACTTCCAAACTGCTGCTTATGAAGAAACCATATTTCCCCATCAAATGATATTTGAAGTTTAAAAACATAAGGTTAAAATGCTATCTGTGAGTTCTAATGGCATGCCAGAGCATCAGTTATTTATCCTTAATGATATTCCTGGAAGGACTAAAATGGCTAATACCATTTTGTATCAGAAATTCTAAATAAGAAAAAATACAGAATAGTGAGATGTATAGAGTAGTAAAATACATTGAAATGAATTACTGCACACACATATATGCATAATATAAACTTACTATGGTCTTGTATACTTATTTTTAGCATTACTAAATCACAGACCAAAAATAATAAATAAATAAATAAATAAATCTTTAATTACAAGAATATGTGCATGATATCTAATTCCACTTTATGTAAGGACCATTAGAATATTAAAAGGTCATCCTTGAATGTATTTTCATCATACTAATCATAAAAACTGTAAGAGTATCATATTGTAGGTAACAAATGAGTTCATCCGTAAGGCTAAATGCTGGTGAGTTGTGACTTTTTGACTGAAATATAAAGGTCGTGTCTATGAGCTGAAACTCCAGTCATCCACAGTTTGTGTCATATTAAGATTGAATAGTAGAGGAGTAACAGAATGCTAACTTGCATGCTCAATCACTGATTGCACAGGTAATGATAGCCCATCACATGTACATAGTGAATTAAAGAATCTTCAGCACTAAATTACAAACAATTTAAAAATACATTGGAAGTAATAGTGTCCTTGCTATGTCAATACATACCAAATTGGAACTTGCTATAGTTTGAATGTATCCCCCAGGAGTTCATGTGTTGGCAACTTAATGCCTCTCCTATCCTAAATGAGGGTCTGCTTTCATAAATGAATTAATATTGCTATCACAGGAGTATATTCATTATTGCAGGAGTGACTTTGTTATAAAAGTGAGCTTTCTCTGGATCTCTTACTCTTATCCCCTTACCTTGTGATGCTCTTCACCATGTTGTGATGCACTAAGAAGGTCCTCTCCAGATGCCACTGTCATGCTTTTGAAATCCCCACCTCTAGAACCATGAACTAAATAAACTTTTCTTTATAAATTACCCAGCCTCTGATATTCTGTTAAAGCAACAGAAAATGAACTGATAGTTCCCAATTTTCTGAATTTTGGGGATTCAGAATTTTCTGAATCTCTTCCTGCTCCTGCTATGAGATTCTAAGATTTCAAAAACCAGGTTAAAAATGACAAATGTTCTAAGCTTGGGAGGAAATAAATAAAGCATAAGACTAAAACGGGGCTGGGCACAGTGGCTCAAGCCTGTAATCCCAGCACTTTGGGAGGCCAAGGCAGGAGGATTGCTTGAGGTCAGGAGTTTGAGACCAACTTGGTCAACATAGCAAGACCCTAACCCTAGGAAAGAAACTAAAAACAACCAACCAAGTATGGTGGCACATACCTATAGTCCTAGTTACTTGGGAGGCTGAGGCAGGAGGACTGCTTGAGCCTAGGAGTTTGATGCTGCAGTGAGCAATAATCACACCACTGTGCTCCAGCCTGGGTAAGAGAGGGAGTCCCTGTAAAAATAAATACATAAATACATAAATAAATATTAAAAGGGACTAGAAAATCTAATATCCTCATACATTAAAGTATAAAAATAAATATTATAATTTCAGGATGTAATTCACATGACCCCATTCTAAAGGTTGTGAGAAATAAATTTTTTGGCACAATATCTATGTTTAGAACTTTACATCTTACAATAAACATGAATATGGAAAAGACATAAAGTTACAGAATAAAAATGTTAAATAATTACATAAATAAATAGACACATGATACCTTAAAGTCAGAAGAAAAGAAAATTAAGGAACAGTAGAAAATTAGTAAAATTCATCATTATTTTTGAATTGAAGGATAATTATTCAATTAGCAATTAGACTTGTTTTATCTGAATAACCCAAAAATAATGGATGGTGAATTTAAAAACTCATACCCTTGAGGAAAAAAAAGTGCATACTTTATTTTATGTTAAAAGTTGCATAAATGTGTGTAGACTTTTGACAATATAACTGACCAAGTTAATGCCTTGAGAATCTAACCACTGAATGATAGAAATACAAAAGTTCTTACAAATCATAACTTTAATTCTATAATTATTCTGTATTCATTTCAGGTACTTTAACACACACCATTTACAAAAATATTACTTAAAATAACTTCTCATGAAAATGTGTTTCCTGATCTCATCATTGAGGCCTTCAACGTGGCACTATTCACAATAGCAAAGACTTGGAACCAATCCAAATGCCCAACAATGATAGACTGGATTAAGAAAATGTGGCACATATACACCATGGAATACTATGCAGCCATAAAAAATGATGAGTTCATGTCCTTTGTAGGGACATGGATGAAGCTGGAAACCATCATTCTCAGCAAACTATTGCAAGGACAAAAAACCAAACACCCACCGCATGTTCTCACTCATAGGTGGGAATTGAACAATGAAAACACATGGACACAGGAAAGGGAACATCACACACTGGGGACTGTTGTGGGGTGGAGGGAGGGGGGATAGTATTAGGAGATATACCTAATGCTAAATGACGAGTTAATGGGTGCAGCACACCAACATGGCACATGTATACATATGTAACAAACCTGCACGTTGTGCGCATGTGCCCTAAAACTTAAAGTATAATAATAATAATAATAAAAAGAGGGAGACTTTTGAGATATTTGAATCTTACCTGGTTGGGAGACATAGTTTCTTAGATTAAAAAAAAAGACACTTAGTATTTTTATATACTTCTGTTAGTTAGCAAAGCATATTTTCTCTCATCAATTGGATCAGTATCCATTATTTATTAGTAATTGTGAGTTCTGGTGCCTTTTCAGGGGAATTATATATGGTTGTTGGACATGGAAAGAAACACAGAATATCATAAAATATTTCTATTATAGAAGTCTGTTATTCTTTCTGGATGTGAGTGAAATACTCAATACTGAATTTTATTTGGTCAGAATGACTATGTGCATCAAATCTAGGCTTAAAGATTCTCAACACTATCAAAACTTTTAAATGTAAACAGTGCATTCAATCTAAGAGGATGTGTCTCCCACAAGGCAAGATTTAGTTGTCTATGTGCATATGTGCTGGGGTTAGGCAGCAGAAGATACAGAAAGCTCTAAGATTAACTTTTTACATTTCCTTCGTTATTTTCAATGCTTTTTCTGAATTTCTACTTGACTTCATTAAAAATGAGTGATACTTCAGGTTATTGACATTTACCGAAATTAACTTTAAAATCTCTTTTATATCTTATATTTTTGTTGCTACAGAAAATATATTCAAATTATTCAATGACCTTTACTGAAAAGGAATATATTTTTGTACATGGTCATTTACTAAAGAGTTTTCCTTAGGTTTTATCAACCAACAATGCTAGCCCTTTGAATCGTGGAGGTCTTCTTTTTCTTTTCACCCATAACACACTGGCAGTGTCTATCACCTCTGGCAGGCAGCTTACGAAGTCAGAAGTATTTCCAGTCTACTCCTGGCCTCCAACTGCTATTTCTCTTCCGTTTCCATGGTAATGGAAATCAGATATATAAAATAATAATACAAAAGAAATGCTTTTACTTGAGAATTTACCAAGCTTTTGTCAAGCTTTTGATTTTCTTTATTAAAATACAATGTTTATTTTCAAGTTAAGTGATCAAATATTTAGTAGTTGTTTCTTGAAACTTTATTTTTATTCCAGAATCCAAGTATTTAGGAGGGAATATAAGTCCTTTGAAAGGAAAAAAAAAAAGTGACTTTGACATAACTCAGCCTATAATCTGTGTTTGCCTTATGATACCCAAGACAGCCAAATAGTGTCCTACTGGCTCCCAGTGAGGCTCTAGCCCCAGAAAGAAGACATCATTTGCCTTGTTTGGGGTTGGTTTGGGGTTGGTAGGGGATGGAGTATTGTTTCTGGAACTGGCGGAGCTGCTGAATAAAATGAAAGAAAGAATCCAATTTCAATTCAAAATGTGTCCAGAGTACAAAGTGATGCTTGAAACATCACAGTGACAATTTTGGAAGCAGATGAATTATGCCAGCTTGGTTCTGTAGAGCTGCTCATGTTATCCCTTCTCAGTAGTTAGAGCCTGTTGTCATGGGCTGCTATTCTTTTATCACACCTAAGCTCCCAAAGATGGATATCAGCTTTAATGTATGCTATCTCTTTTTTTTTAACTATCACTTCTAAGAATTAATTACTTCATTTTGTTTCCTTCATGCTATGTTACATCAAACATCTTCCATTCTTCTAGAATAATTCATGACTTTGCTACTTTGGGCAAGTAGACAGAGATGTTTTAAAACCAATTCTGTATTCTGTGAATAGTATCATTGCCTCACTAAAATCTGTGATGATGGTCACAAACTGATATGGAGCCACAGCTCAAAAATAAGACGCTGGTTACAGTTATCTTCTTGTTTTTTTCTCTTTCAGTGGAAAAAAATCTACTTTTTACATTTTTATAGAATAAACAGAGCTATAACGTGGTTTTTTGTCCATTTGCATAGTTTATTTGAAATGCTACATACACAGATATATGTTTTATTGACTTCGTATTTATTACAACCCTCTAAACCTCACACATAACGCATCCCACGGAGACATGTCTTTGAAACAGGAATACATTATGTAACAGGTCTACACTCCTCTCTGGCTCCCATGATCAGAGCAACATTAAAGTAACTTAGGCATTTTTCATTACATTTTATTTAAGTTCAATTCATATCTATTGAGGTATTTTTTCCCGTTTTCTGATATTTTCTGGCACTTAGAGATCCCATGACTGCAGAAAAGAATACACAAGTGAAAGCAGAATGGTGAAGAGCATGAGATGTGAACTTCTTGAACTCAAGTTCTAACACCCTCACTTCTTTGCTGTGAAAAATTGGTGAGGTTGTTAATAAATCTCACTAGCGGCTGGGCGGGGTGGCTCACGCCTGTAATCCCAGCACTTTGGGAGGCTGAGGCGGGCGGATCACGAGGTCTAGAGATGGAGACCATCCTGGCTAACATGGTGAAACCCCGTCTCTACTAAAAATACAAAAAATTAGCCAGGCGTGGTGGTGGGCGCCTGTAGTCCCAGCTACTCGGGAGGCTGAGGCAGGAGAATGGCATGAACACGGGAGGCAGAGCTTGCAGTGAGCTGACATCATGCCAGGGCACTCCAGCCTGGGCGACAGAGCAAGACTCCGTCTCAAATAAATAAATAAATAAATAATCTCACTAGCCTTTAGTTTTCCAATCTATCAAATGGGAACAATAGTTATAAATAGTTAAATAATGTGATTGATGTGAAGGTTAAATATATCTGGTGCACAATAAACATGGAAACATGTTTTAAAATTATATAAATTAAAAAGGTAACAAAAATGAAAGAAAGTAGAATAACCATTTAAGTACTGTCCAATTGCAATTATTTTTTACAGTAAAAAAGGGTGCTGAAATAAGAAAAATATTTAATATTTGAAATATGTACTTGATAAATTGTTATACTGTTTTGATTGATAAATGTTCTATTATTTTGATGAGTGTATAAAATAGTTCAACTCAAAAATTACTTTGAAAATCATAAAAATTAAAAGTATAATTATATATAGTAAAATTAATTTTAAAATTTGCATTGATTTTAAAATAACATAAATACAATAATGATGTTTGGCACATAATCATACATTTAATCAGATCAGCGTCATTGTTTCTGTCCATACCAAGGTATCTTGCAGTCCACCGCTCAGGCTTGAGCACCAACTAATACAATGAGTAGCATTGGACAGCAGCACAACCCCAAACCACAAGGAATTAGCTGTCTCTGATAACTTTAGTCCTAGTGTGCTTGATCATATCGCCATATTCCCTGCATGATATTCTTAAAATTTTTTGAAGGGAAAATGTTAGTTATACTGTTAGAAAGGGTTGAGAGAGATATTATATCTCTAATTATCTTTCAAATTTAACCACGTGTGTCTCCTACTGCTAGCTGAGTTTATGTGGAACTTCAATGTACGATTGACCCTTGAACAATGTGGGGATTAGGGGTTCTGACAACCTGCTCAGTCAAAAATTTGTATACAACCTTTGAGTATCCAAAAGCTTAAGCTGACTGAGTAGCCTATAGCTTACTGTAGACCAGAAACCTTACCAATGACATAGCCAGTCAATTAACATACATTTTTAAGCTTTATGTGTTATATGTTGTATTCTTAAAATAAACTTAGCTAGATAAAAGAAGATGTTACTAAGAAAATCATAAGGAAGAATAATATATTTACTATGTATTAAGTGGAAATGGATCATCATAGAGGCCTTTGTCTTCACATTGAATAACAGCCTGAGAAAAGAAAGATGAGGAGGATGATGGTGGACAAAAAACTAAACACCACATGTTCTCACTCATAGGTGGGAATTGAACTATGAGAACACATGGACACAGGAAGGGGAACATCACACACCAGGACCTGTTGTGGGGTGGGGGGAGGAGGGAGGGACAGCATTAGAAGATATACCTAATATAAATGACGAGTTAATGGGTGCAGCACACCAACATGGCACATGTATACATATATAACAAAGCTGCACGTTGTGCACATGTACCCTAAAACTTAAAGTATAAAAAAAAAAAAAAGATGAGGAGGGATTGTTCTTGCTGTCTCAAGGATAGCAGAGGGTGAAGAGGTAGAGGAGGTGGAAGGGTAGGCTGGAGAGGAAGGCACATTTGCTGTAACCTTACAAAAATATATCGTTATTTCTGCCTTTTTGCTTTTTTTGTTGCTCTAAAAATATTTCTATATAGTACCTATCCTTCTTCCACTATTTGCTTTAGTTTTATTGCCCAATCACAGAAGGATCCATTTTGTAGAAGAAGTAAAAAAAAAAAAGCAATCTTGAGTAATCTGAATCTTTCTGCCAGATTGTCTAATGTCATTTCTTTTCTGTTTCTGGCACTGCTGCTTCCACATCTTCTGCCTCATCATCTGGCACTGGTTTGGAAGCACTCATCTCTACCATGATGTGGTCTGTTAATTCCTCTGCTG
Organism: Homo sapiens; assembly: GCF_000001405.40. NCBI lineage: Eukaryota > Metazoa > Chordata > Mammalia > Primates > Hominidae > Homo > Homo sapiens. The sequence continues at coordinate 95,159,714 of NC_000006.12, forward strand.
TGCTGTCTATTTGCTCTTGAATTTCTCCAAAATCTGTATCTTGACACTTCATCTCCCACATTTTTTTTTGCCATATCCACAATCTTTTTCATGATCTCCTTGATTGGCTCTGTCATAAATCCTTTGAAATTATGTGTAACATCTGGACAGAGTTTTCTCCAACAGAAATTGTTGTTTGTAGCTTGATGACTTTAATGGCTTTTTCTATAAAAATGATGGGATTTTCAATAATTTAGTCTTTCCAGACTTTCATGATGTTCTATGAGGGTGCGCTTCCATAGCATTGGCAATCTTTTTCATAGAGTACCTTTTAATGAAACTTATAGATCCTTATGACCCCTGATCTAGAGGTTGAGTTAGAGATGTTGCGTTTCAGTACAAGACAACTACCCCTTTCGCGTTGAATTCACTGAGCTCTGGGTGGCCAAGGACATTGTCCCATATAAAAAGAACTTTAAAAGACAATGCCTTCCCAACATGGTTCTTCCTGACTTCAGGGACAAAGCATCAATGGAACCATTCTAGAAAAAGGATTCTTGTTGTACATGCCTTTCTGTTGTATAACCAAAAGACTGGCAGCTGGTGTTTATTCTTTCCCTTCAAGGCTCAGAGTTTAGCAGATTTATAGATAAGGGCAGTCCTAATAATAAACCCAATTGTATCTGTGCAGAACAGAAAAGATGGCCTCTCCCTTAATTTCTGGTGTTTGCTTATCTGTCTTACTCATAAATGTCCTTTGTGACATTGTTTTCCAGAATCAGGCACTTTCATCTGCATTAAAAATCTGTTCAGGCAGATAGTCTTTCACCTCAATGATTTTTTTAATGGCATCTGGGAACCTTCCCCTTTGTATACAGAAACTGTTATCTTGACATTTTTAAAGTCAAACTTCTTTCTAAAATTATCAAACTATCCTTTGCTGGAATTAATTTCTTCAACTTTAGATCTTTCACCTTACTTTTGTTTTAAGTTCTCATATAATGAATTTGTTTTTTCCAAAATCATATTAGTGCCTATAGGTATGTCTTTCTTATAGCAATCTATACCCGCATAAGCTGCATTTTAACATGAGATTAAAAGATATCCCAAAAACAGTGCAATGTCATGCCTGCTGGCATAGCTGCAGTGACGACTTGATGAGTTTCCTTTTTTTTGGTTTTTGGGTTTTTTTTGTTTTTGTTTTTAACAATGGTTCTTATGTTGGATTCATTTATCTTGAAATGGTAGGCAACCACAGCTAGAGACTTCAATCTAAGGTGCATGTCAAGCAATTCAACTTTTTCTTGTAATGTGATGACTTTTCTCAGCTTGGGAGCACTCCCAGCGTCACCAGTGCCATTTTGTTTGGGTTGCATGGTATTATTAAATGCTTAAGATGTTACACTAAATATCATAAAAAATAAGCAAGAGCGCAAGATACTTTTTACTGTGATATGCAATTTACTAGAGAGATGAACTGCTCATGAAGAAATGATTAGCGTCAGACTTGCAATATTTGTGCTTACCGCAATAGTAACAGGAGGTGACTACAAAATTATTACATTAGCATAGTGTGTATTACAGTTAATTTTATGCAGTTTTGATTTAACATTGCATCTTTAGGTTTTTTACTTTTCTCTTGACTGTGAATAATATCAGATATTACCTGTAACTGTGCACATAAGTTTTTATAAATTTTAACTTTATAATACATTTTTGTATATTTTATGCAGCAAATGATAAAAATAGACTAGTATCTGCATATATTTTATGCATTCATGGCATCCTAACTTTTTCTTTTATACATATATATTTCTAGCCTACCCAGTTTGTCTGTAAAGTTTTTTCAAATAGTAACAAACCATCAAAGAAGGTCCATAAAATTGGACCTGCACAATTCAAGCACGTTGTTCAAGTGTCAACTGTAAGTGCTTTTATGCAACTTTTAGCTTTTATGCTTTGTTAAGAAATTAACAATTTTGGCAAATGCTAAACCAGTCAAGACACTGGGACAACAATTTTGCTAGCTCTGTTCCAGGAAATTTCTGTTATCACCTAGGAATATGACACTGAAAAACTGTTAGCGTCATTGTTTTGACTTTTTAAATTTAAGTTACTGCAGAATCAACAATGTCATAATATTACCTAGTTTTAAAAGTCCCTGACAATCAACTTGTTTCTGTGTTGGGATGACAATATACAATCCATTGTATATTTTTCCCTAACTACTCACATGATTACATACACTTTCTACATGAAAACAAATGTAAGAACAAATATAGAATTAAAATATAACATTATTTTTCATCATGAAGAACATTATAATAAACTGGCCTTTATCTAACAGGTGGTAATTAGATGTTAAATACAATAATTAACCTAATCCAGGATGAACCTAGGAGCATTTAGACATTACCTTGCTGTCAAGAGTTAGTATCAATGTTTCTGAAGAAGAGTAAATTCTCTCTGTTGTTATTACTCTCTCTTTATTTGAATTTCAGTTTTGAGTTAGTTTTATGAATATTTCCTTTTTCTATCCCTTTGCCTTAAAACTATCCATAATTTTTGTATTAATTAGGTAAATGGTAGGCAAATTGGCCTTTTGAATAATTCATTATAAAGACTATAGGTAGACAACATAAAATAAAATTGGTAACATTTACTATTGAATAATATTAATGATAAAAATAAAATCTCAATGCCAGGTTTAGTGAACTAAAACTGGGCTTGGAAAAATGGGAGTCTGTAGACAAAAATACGGAAAAGCAACTCATACCCATACTGTTATACTCACTGGGCCAATAATCAGTATAATTTAATGCATAACAAAGGCTGATTAATAATTTAAAGTTCATCTGAAAATAAGTGAAAAAATAATTTACTCTGATTCAAAAAAACTTAGAAAATTAAAAAGGAAATTTAAAAATTCCAAAATTATTTATCTTTATTTTATTAATTCAGTAATTAAATTGGCTTTAGGGTTGTCCAGCCAATTATTTCTGAAAACAAGTACATCATTATTTGTATAATTCTAATTAATTGCTTGTAATAAAAATTTATTGATGTCAAAATAGCAGGATAAATGTGGTCAAATTGAAATTGCCTCTATAGTTTTAGAAGATCATGTCTTTAGAGAATCATCTAGGAAAGACCTTCTCAAATATACTGTTTTTCCAAGAGAATAAAACCATTTTTACAAATGCTTTAGTTACTAACTTACCAACATTAAACCCCAGGATAGAAGATGCAAGAAAGCAGGACTCCGGAAGCAATGGAACGAGCCCAGGGATATAATTGAATATAGAGATTCCTGGGGCCTTGTTTTGAAAAGACTTGAAATATACATAGGAAGAAAGGCACAAAAATAAATGTTCATTTGTCTCTGCATAAAAAACCCAAACAACAACAACAACAACAAATTTTAAAAGTTTTTATTTTTATTTGAAAGAGCTCAAGTACAAAACATTATAAATATGTATGTATTTGTGTGTATACATGTGTGTACATATATATATGATTATATACACATTATGAAGCAGAAAAGTAATATTGCAAACAGTAATGTCTACCCCACAATGTAAGATATTGAGTATGATCTTCAAATCCTGTACTCTCCTCAGTGACTACACGGACCTTTCTTACAACTCCATTCTCAGTCTTTGGTTAAATGTGTTTCTCATCATCATCTTATCATGTCTGGTATGTATTAGCATATAATTTAGGTCTATCTGCTTTTTTAAGATTGTAAAAGTACAATAATGATTTCTTTATTCTCCTTTCACTTGATTTTTAATCTAAACATTGTCTTCTGAGATTTGTTCGTGTTTATTGGAGTACTTTATTTTCACTCTTGCATACTTTAATTTTCTATAAGAATCTGCCAATTTTTTATACATTCTATTGAGAATGGGTTATTTGTGTGGTTTCTATTTTTTCCCTATTATAGATAGTACTTCCATGTACAGTCTTGGATAAATCTCCAGAAGCAAGTATGCAAAAGTATCTCTAGGCTATAAACTAAGTAATGGATTATTGAGTTCACGGTATGAACATTTTTCATTCTAATCTATAATGCCAATCCTTTGTCAAAGTAATATTCAACTGTTTGTGAATATTTGGCTGCTTCATATCTCGTTGATGACTGATATTATTAGACTTCTTTAATCTTGCCAGTCTGGGAAGATGAAAAATAAGTCATTGTGGTTTTAATGTGTAGTTCCATGATTACGAATGAGTTCAAATACATATTTATACTTATTGGACACTCCTGTTTTCATTCAATTGCTTGTTTTGTTCGTATTCCTTTATAGGAGACCTTTATAAATTCTAGATATTAATCCATTGTCAACAATATTGTAAAGGTGACTATCTTTTGCAAAGTGTGTTCCAAGTGAAAATTTTCCTTCTAATACCCACAAGAATTACTCATGAATAGTAGTTATGTTCTTATGTTCAATGTAATAAAATGTATTCTTATTTTAAAAATAGATTTTCTATTTTATATATCTTACTTAAATACCTTTTCTACCATGAGGTCAAAAAAATTATTTACAGTATTTTCTTCTAACATTCCATAAGTTTCCTTTTATATTGAATTTTTTATCTTTATGAAATAGATAGTACCCTATGGTATAGGATAGAAATAGGCAGATATATGACAGATAGATACACACACACACACACACACACACACACACACACACACACACACATATATATATACATATATCCTCATGGAAAAAATATTGCTCATTGATTTCTCTTTTATCTAAAATGATGGTTCTGTCATGTATCTATCAGGGTACCTATATTTTTACGCATAAATAATAGAACCTAAATAAAGCACTGGAAAGGTTATTTTTATTTTTATTTATATTTTTCAAGGTTCTTTCAAAGAAATACTACTAAAATAAATCTATTGAAATATACAGACCCTTTGTTTTCATTTAATGTGTGATCTAAACATTTTCTCACGTTTTTACTCAATCTTCCTTCCTTCCTTTCCTTCCTTCTTTCTTTCTTTCTTTCTTTCTTTCTTTCTTTTCTTTCTTTCTTTCTCTCTCTCTCTCCCCCTCCCTCCCTCGCTCCCTCCCTCCCTCTCTCTCTCTCTCTCTCTCTCTTTCTCTCTTTCTCTTTCTCTCTTTCTCTTCTCTCTTTCTCTCTTTCTCTCTTTCTCTCTTTCTCTCTTTCTCTCTTTCTCTCTTTCTTTCTTTCTTTCTTCCCTAACAGAGTCTCACTCTGTCATCCAGGCTGGAGTGCAGCAATGCGATCTTGGCTCACTGCAACTTCAGCCTCCCAAATTCAAGAGATTCTCCTGCCCCAGCCTCCTGAGTATCTGGGATTATAGGCACACTCCACCACGCCCAGCTAATTTTCACCACTCCCAGCTAATTTTTGTATTTTAGTAGAGACAAGATTTCACCATATTAGCCAGGCTGGACTCAAACTCCTGACCTCAAGTGATCCACCTGCCTCAGCCTCCCAAAGTGCTGGGATTACAGGCGTGAGACACCATGCCCAGCCCAATCTTAGCAAATATTATTTTTATGAAGCCCAAGAGTCTTACTTTCATATCACTGTGTTATGATCTGAACATGTGTGTCTCTTCCCAATTTGTGTTGAAGCCTTTATCCCCAGTGTGGCAGTATTAAGAGATGAAGCTTCAAAGGACGTAATTAAGGTTAAGTGAGGTAATTAGGATGGTGCTCTGAACAGATAGGATTAGTGTCTTTATAAGAAAAGGAGGAGACAATCTCTCTCAACATCATATGAGGACAGAGCAAGAAGGCAGCCATCTGCAAGCCAGGAAGAGAGCCCTCCAAGGAATCAAATTGGCCAGCACCTTGATCTTGGACTTCCCAGATCCTAGAACTATGAGAAGTAAATTTCTGTTACTTAAGTCACACAGTAAGTAATATTTTGTTATGGAAACCCATGCAGAAGAATACATACAGTTTTAGCATTATTTTAGATGTTTTTAAGCACTTTAATGTAATAGATACCGCTACATAGACTGCACCAGAGTAGAGATGTATTTCAGATCTTTGAATTACTTTTTATAATAAATCCCCAGGAAAAAGTTTAGTAAATCAAGGGGATAAGCATCTTTACAGTTTTCAGGAAAAAAAATGTTTTGCCATATTGTTTTCCCAAATAATTATATCATTATACATATGTTAGCAATACTGGAGCATATCAATTGCACAAATAGAATTCAGAGGCTTTGTTATAGCTCTATTTTAATATTAAAATGAGACTGGTATGGTGGTACCTCATGAATACTTTGATTTTCAATTTAGTACCATATTCCTTATGTTCAGTTGTTCTTTAATTACATAGACTCTAATTTTGTGACTCTTAGCCAAAGAAAATTATATTTGACTCAAATAATTAATTCTGTGTATGTCCATTTGATCAGTCATAAGAATATGTCTGCAATTTACTTGTCAACAAAGTATATACCCTTATATATACAAAAACAAATTCAAGGAAATAAGTTTACCCAATCCTACCTAATGGCAGAAAAACATAAGAAGACAAAGGCTATATTTTAAAGCACGTATACATGTAAAAAAGTAATTGTACTTACATACACTATAGATATGTATCTATGTATGCATGTGTCATATACACACATATTCACACATACAAATAAACCATTAATAACTAAAATCTATAGAAATTGATGGCTTCAGTGCACTATTTTAGAAGAGAATCTTGAACCTTACATACAAACATAAAACACCTTACATACAAACATACAATATTTGAAACTAATAGCCAATTGATTACTTCAATAGACGTTTGGCCTCTTTTTGGTACTTAAGAGACATTTTCTGAAATATAGCTTTTAAGCTTTCAATTTGTAGGTTTCTGAATTAGGACACATGAATCACAAAGAGCCAAATTACTGCAAAGCAGTGGCATTTACATTTATTTCCACTCACCTTATTTCTCCTGGGAGCAAAATAAGCTGCTGCTATTTGCTCAGAATTGGTGGCCATGATCAGAATGACTGTCAGAGAGCCCCTGTCTCTCTCACTAATTTCAAGCTCTATTGAACAGTGCTGCTCTGACAGAACCAGTGTGCAACATTTATTAGCATCCCTGGCACAACTTGGGGAAAATCTTAAACAAACTTGTGGATGTTGCTAATCATAGGGAAAATACTAGCAATTTTTCCTTTCTTTCTTTCTTTTTTTTAATTTTTGCCTGTTTGGGGTTTGTTTAATAAACATCACCATGGTAGAGTGTATTGCTATAAATAATATCAACAACCAACAGGTATTATAAAACAAAATACAGATGGAATATTATTCCATAAATAGAAGAAATAAGCTAACAGAAATCATGCACCACTAAACTTGCCTAAGAGACAAGAAATGTTCTTTCCCAAGCTATTTTCACAATCTTCCCTTTGAGATATCTTTCATGTACTCATTTATTCCAATACAGAAAAAAAGTCTAAATGCAATATTGCCACTTCCTCACCTGGAATTCCCTCTTTAGTTTTGTGTAATCATCTGGTCTATAAATCTCTACCTGTACTAATGTGGTTTTTATGAGTTTACCAATGACTTCCTAGGTACTATATTCAAATGACATTTCTGTCCATTTTGCCTTTAACTTTTTCCCTAATGTGTATTTTTTTTACTATGCTATTCCTGAAATATATGTATACTTTGCCTAATGTCACTTTTTGTGTGGCTTTTCCTTCTCAGATTCTATGAGTTTCTCTTCAGTCCACTGGGTAAATTAAAAAATTCATAGGTTTCTTTCTTGTAGCTCTTTTTCTTCTTGGACTTTATATTATCCTCCTAGTAATCTCACCTCTCCTTATGGGTTTAACTACCACCTGGATTAACTCACATGTGTTTATTTGTCCTGTATTGCCCATTTGACAGCATAAGCTATAGTTTTACTTGCTGTTTAACCTCTCCACCTATACACTAACAGATATCTCAAACTCAATATGTTTTGGAAATCTGTTTGACATATATACAAAACCTGAACAAAGGCATACTCTCTGACTCAGAATTCCATAACCCTGTCCAGCCTCCATGGAAATGTATGCAAATGGACACCAAAAGCCATATATGAGACTGTTCATAGTATCATTATTAATAATTACTCCTAACTGATAAATCCCAGACAACAATAGAATAAATACATAAATTGAGGTTAATTAATAAAATGGAATACTGCACAACATTTCAAACCATTGCTCAGCATAACAATATCAATTAATCTTGCAAACCAAATTCTGAGTGAAATGAAGCTAGAATAAAAATGTGCATGCTATATTATTTTATTTACAGAAAGTTCAAAAATAGAAAAAACTAATCTTTTATATTAGTGGACAGGACTTTTTTTATCTTTGAGGAAAAATGTGGGTGGTTGGGAGAATAACCAGTTTTTGTTTTTATTGGATGGCTAGCAATGTTCACCGTTCTTTGTCTTGATGTGGGTCCTGGTTCCGTGCACACCCATGTGGTGAAAACTGATCAAGCTATACAATTATGAATTCTGCACTCCTTTATCAGTTATAGTTCATGAAATTATTTACTAACACCACTTTGCAAATGATAATAAATTACCTCTTGATGCTAGCACATGAATAATTTTGGAAGTATATTTTATCATGACAATATCCTGCATAGAATCCTTCCATTTTTCCATTGACCGTAGGTTGAAACACAAATTTCTGAGTATAGAATAAAAGATCTTTCATAATCTAGTTTCTGCCTAGATCTAGCCTCATCTTTTCCTCTATTTTGTCACATGAAATCATTTTTATAATATTATTTCTTTACTATTAATTTTCCTTTATTGTTTTAAATTCCTTGTTAATTTTTATGTTTAAATACTCAAATTTAATTCTATGTAGCCTATCTTGATTTTATGAGGCAGTGAAGAATTTTCTCCTATATAATCTTACATCATTCTTTGTGCACCTTTCTTGTAGCATCCATTCCAGTCTTTTTTATATAGAAGTAATAGGGAATTAGATAGCAGTCAGACAATGGAGGGCAAAATTTTGATATATTTAAAAATATACCTCAAAAAATCGGAAACAATATTTTCAAGATTTTACTGACTACATTATTTATTACCTATTTCAAAATTGGGAAAAAATAATGCAAGCTCTCAAGACATTGGTGTAAATATTGATTCAAGGTTTTCTGATACTGTGAATCATTCACCTGCAATTTAAAGTTTTTATCTACAGCCTGAAGTATAAATTGAGTAGTACAAACAAAACAAAAGGTGCAATAAAATGCACCCAAGTAACTATCCAGAAGCACATTGAATATGGTAATAAGCATATATTCTGAAGTATAATTATATATATATATGTATACATCATGTGTATCTAAAAATATAAACATAGTCTCATAAAATTATCCAATTATATTTTTCCACTACAATTAATCTCTAGGTTTACTTCTGTGTAGATTATAAACACTTTATTAAACACAGTGCAAAGCAAAGGAGAAGTTTTTCAATTTTTCTCATGGAATTAAAGAAAAATGTTCACATATAATTATTATTTATATTATTCTCTTTGTTTTAGCAATCAATTCTGTGACTTTAGAGTACCTTAAACAGGCACATTAATTTATTTTTGCAAAATGTATTCAAGTGTTTCAATTTGTCTTATAGGTAGATTCAATCCTTGTTCTGCCACTTTCTCACATGTGTCATTGAGGAAAACATATGTAATCTATAAAATTGAAATCACAATGTCTATCTCAGAACTGCTCTGAGATTTAGAGATAAATATTTAAAATATGTAATACTATGCAAACTGGAAAATCTATAAATGCTATCTATTATGATTTCTAGTAAAATGAATGAAGTTGACTAGATTGAGTTATAAAATTTAATGAAGCTGCTAAATTTGGAATTCAACTATAACAATTATTTAGCTACTAATAATTAGCATTTGTATAGTAGACTCTAATCCTCTTTATTGACACACTAACTTCTATTTTTTCTCACTGATATTTCTCACTGATACTTTCTCACTGTTACTGAATTTCTTGCTTGCAGTTTTATATGTTCCAAGAACTTGCCTCAAAATATAGGTTACTGTTGTATAATAAAAGAAATTGGCTGGCCTTTTCCCCCATGCCTGATTGGGACCCTTGAAACCCTTGGAATTTCCTGAGTGATAGGAATGTCTGTTATTCATGGTGGTCCTCTGGTAGCACACATAAGCTTACGCTAATGAGATGACTTATGATTGACTCCTAGATAGTTTATAATAATGAGATGACTCAGGTTGGAGATTAGTTCCAATCATGTGATTAAAGGGTTGGGGCTTTGAGCCATGCAATATCAGCAGGTCCTCTTGGGAAGGGAGGGAGCTGGAGAGTGAGTTGAACCACACAGCCAAGGATTCAGTAACTCATGCCTTCATAACAAAATCCCAATAAAAGATCTACGAACTGAAGGTTCAGTGACCTTCCTGGTTGGTGATCCACATGGATGTGGGGGTGACAGGTCCAGAGGATGATGGAGCTTCTAGTACCCTCCCAGGTCTTTCCCTATGAATCTCTTATTTTGCTCACCCTGATTTGCATGTTTTATAATAAAACTGTTAACACTACTAGCACTTTCCTGAATTCCTGAATTTCCTGGGTCCTTCTAGTGAATTATTGAATTCCTGAGGGGTTAGCAGGAACTCTCAAATTTCAGACTGTTTTGTCAGAGCATAGGTGCTTGTGGCTAGTGTCTGAAGTAAGGGTAGTTCTGTGGGAAACTGTCCTTATCTGTGAAATTTCACCTAGCTCCAGATACTTAGAGTCAGAATTGCATTTCAGTGGCAAACCAAAATGCTTTTGGATTGGGGAAGGTTACATAAATAAAATACATTTTTAATATGATAAATATAGTAATACACACTTGGTCTATAGGGAGGCATCTGTCACTGACTCCAGCTTATACCTTTGTGCAGAATTGTACACTCAGCATTGCCAACAGTTGTAATTTTTAAGGAAAAGGACAAACCCTTATTTTTATATGAAATCTCATGGTTTTTAAAATTTTGTCTGATAACGTCTGGCCCTCGACAACTTGACACATTTCACTTAAAATATATTCTGGGAACTTCAGTTTGGGGCCCAACATAAAAATACCTTCAAGGTCATCATACCTGTCATTACAAGAAAAAGCTGAGAAAATTAAAAAGGCAACTATTTTTTCTGGACATATCCGAAGTCTCAGGGAAAACAGAGACATGGTAATACAGAGTCATAATAAGGATCTGCCTTGCCTTACTGGAATAGAGCCATAAACTGGTAGGAACACTTAAATGATAATTTTGATGAATTACTGGAGACTGAATATAGATTAGCATAAGAGTAAGAACGTCCTGAAGGGGCTGCTGCCTTTGGGCTCAGCACACTTTTATGTGGTTTCTTTTCCAGGAAGCCCACCAGGTTCTCATAATGAAGTTCTAACTCTAACAGGTAAAGAGGAAAAATAAACATGTAGGTGACAAGACAAAACATTAAAATATGTGTGGGTAAAATAGAACTACAGGGAAATTGAAAAATCCACTAATAGAGTTGGAGAGTAAAACATCACTTTTTAAGTAATTGATTGGCTGAGAAGGAAGAAATCAGAAAAAGATATAATTGACATGATAAATATATTCTTATCATTTAATTACTTGTACATGTATTTCCACTGTAATTTATCTATAGCTTTATGAATTTAATAAATGTTTAAGTGGTTAGAGTATAAAAGTCTAACTGATAAGAATATAAGATATGCTAAGCAAGCAAAAGATATAAAACCTTTTTTATCCTTGTTTAGTTTATCAAAACAAAGGTTTTTAAAGTTGATTAAAGGTCTGCAAAAAGCTGTCTAAATGATAGTGTTATGATGTTTCAAAAATATAACAAAATGTGCTTTTGATAGACAAGAAGTAATAAGTGCTAAATATTCTGTGACATTTATATTTCATAAGTATAAACCTAATGCTATTAAAACACATTCATCATTTAGTTTGTACAAGAAAAAATGTTATTCTAAGTTTAAAATGCTATAATAATTAGCCCTTTTAACTTAATCAAACAACTGGTTTTTTAAACAATTTTTTGGAGATTCTTAGTGTAACTATTGTTCTTCTGTATTGCTCAGGATGATAATAGTAACTGCATTATTTGATGACCTCTGTGGTTTAACACAATAGAAATTTACTTGTCATTTCTGTCATATTCCAAGGCAGTCAGCTAGAAATCTGAGGAGGCCTTCCTCTAAAGATGTTTATACGCTATCTACCTAGTAGGTTTGCTGCTAAATGAATGAATTGGGAGTAAGAGGGAATGAAAGATCCTTCAAGATTGCAAGTAAACCCCATTTGTGCTCATATTCCTTTGGTCAGAACTCAAATACAGAACGCGGCCCCTCCTAGGTGATCAGAACTGTTAGATACATGGATTTACTCCTGGCATATAAATACATCAGGAAATTATTCTCAAAAGTCACAGAGTGATATCTTTAAAGGGACACTGCTTTAGTTATGAGTTGAACCAGAATTTGTGGTTTCTGTTAGTTCAAAATTGTTAAAAATTCTAATCACTTGCCAATAATCTAAGGTTAGATTGAAAGACAGAATATGTAATTTGAAGAAACTGTAATTTCATCTTGCAATTAATTAGTAGTAAGTACTGAATATTCTAAATTACACTTAAATCATTATTTCGCCTAAATAATAGACAAAATACCAAACATAAATGTTGGTATATAATTTTTGTAATACATTGGATAAGATTTATAAGCTTCCTACAAGATGCAACAGACTAGAATGAAAGGCAGGAATACTCGTATGGATGTTCCTCCTTAAATTATGTGTAAACCATAAGAACTAACTACTTTCAAACTAGGAAATGTTTATAAATATTATTATTCATTTTTTTCCTTTGTCTGAAATTTTTGTCTTTTTTTTTGAGACGGAATATCACTCTTGTTGCCCAAACGGCACAATCATGGCTCAAGAAATTTTTGTCTTTAATTTTATTTTTCCTATTTTTATATTCAGTATTAGTTTGCAAGTTTTTTAAAAAAATACTCTTTGACTCAAAAAACATCTGTGAGGTGATTGATATGTACTGAGCTTACATTCAAAGTTTAGGATTATGCTGTTTTAATAATTTTTAGGAAATTTTTGTATGTCTCTAGCTTATATAATAATGTTATTCTTAAAAACCAAAATCTGTTTACACAATATATACTAGTATCTAATTTACATATTAGATTACATTCTATTTTTTTCTTTAAAATTATGATGGTAGTAGGATAAGATACAAATGTATATCACCACTTACTACAATATTCCCAGGATATTTACAGGTGATTCATGAAATTACACTTAGATATTGAAATAAAATACTATTTTTAAAAAGTGATGTTTTAACATAATTGGTTTTAAATTTGTATGAAGTGATAGTCTTTTGGCCGTGTTAAGAGGTTGGTAAACTTCTTTAAAACAGCCAATCTTAAATGAGCCTTCCAGTATAACAATATGTGATTTTATTCATTGTATCCCCACTATGTGAGCACTGCAGCATGACAATAGATAATACTAAGGGGTCAGAATTAGCTTTCTTCGCAATAATTTGTGTGACTTACCAAGCATCTTTTTCAACTTACTAACAATGACATTTAATATAATTTGGAGTATTTGATTATCACATTTACTTTTAGTAAATAAATACTAACAGTTTTAATGTTGAATATACAATTTTTATACAAATATTTGTTAATGGCATTAACGTCTGAACTTATTTCAGTTCATATTATAGAACTAATACAAAAGAAAGGTTAAAAATGGAAATAAAAAAGAAGTTTTATAGAGATTGAGATGCCCTTCAATTTGTTAAAGAGTTCATTTTTCCTTTAGTTAAAAAAGAAGCATTTGAATCAAATACATAAATATTAAAAAGGCAATTATGGTTTGTTTCCGGGACAACAGAAATGAAGTACATGATACAATAATGGAAATAATTTACAGCTCAGTGGGACGACCATAGAGACAATAATCTAATGGAAAACTCACATTTGTTTAAAAAGAAAATAAGATCTCTTATCTAAGCCCATCTTTAATTTCAACTTTAGTGTACCAGGTGATAGTACAGAATCCCACATTTCAAATCTTTCAAAGACATTTTTAGTAGTTCATGGAAGGTTAGGAAGCAACATCACTACTTTAATGCAAATAGGTTCTTCTGAATAGGCTAGCAATTCAATTATATTTAGGAAGAAAATACTTTTGCTTCCCTAGAAACCCTATGATGTTCTGTAACAAATAATAAGCCCATGCAAAATTCTATATGCCATAGGTAGGTCTGACTCAACTTTTAAAACTCCACAGGTATAGTTACAAGTGTCTCATATGAACATACAAATATAATGACCTTCTCAATTAGAGCCCCAGAAGTTAGAAAATACTTTCAGTTTATGTAAAAGAGTACATTTAAAATTAGCTTAGTCCATGATTTTTCTTTCTTTTTTTTAAATTTTCATTTTAAGTTCAGGGGTATATGTACAGGTTTGTTACACAAGTAAACTTGTGTCATGGGGGTTTGTTGTACAGATTATTTCATCACCCAGGTATTAAGCCTAGTACCCATTAGTTATTTTTCCGTATCCTCTCCCTCCTTCCAACCTCCAGCCTCCTAAATAACCTGTCATTTTTACAACGATATCTGATAAATATTTTGAATATGAATCCAGCCTCCTGGGAAATATGATTCATTTGTAATTCAAGACCAGATAAGTATAACATAAAGCTAGCATCAAGAACAGAATTGCAAAAACATGACTGTAAATAATAATAGCTCTATCATAATATATGCTTATTAGTTTAGTCAATAATGCATATGTAAATTGGTCTCTGGTATTTTTAATAAATTTTGACCACAATTATATGACATAGATGAGCATCCTCACATATCTTAAGTAGCCACAGTAACATGAAGAGAAATCATGCATTTTACCTTGGATAATTTATCTAAATCTAAAAATGTGTGGAGGAATTATGAAGGAGACCAGTTGGCATTCTTGTATTCATGAAACAATTTATTGCCTTTTGATTGGAGACTAATGGCTGCCCAACTTTTAAGGCATTAATAACTCATAAAGTAGGAAGCTAGCCAGAGGACAGATACAGTTGAGGTTCACAATTATGGATAAGGATTAGGGTTGGCTCTAAGGAAAATTTTTATTTTAGTAATGATGCATGTCAGATTTTCTTTTGGCTTATTCCTTGGTACCTATAGAGAAAAAAGTAAGTGAAATGAAAAAGCTCTATCACTACATGTAGTTTAAGAAGATTTTTAAAAATGCAATTATATTTTGTGGCCTAGTAATGAATTACAATATAATTCTTCAGGGTGGAGTTGGGTATGGGAAGAATATGTTCTACTACTTCAGCTCAATATCTATTTACATAATAACACCTTTCATAATATTAGAAATGTGAGAAAGTCATCTAGATGACCAGATTGCTTGAGAGTCTGTCAATCAACCTCAGCAATGACAGGAGATATTAAGGTTGTGCTGTCAGTTCACCTAGAAATGGCAGATAAGACATGGCTCTGATGGAAGAAAATGTAAATTTTGACCATTGGAAAGGCCCTGTGAAACTCTGCTGACCTACCTGAGCCACAGTGGAAGAACTCAAAGGGCATGGGTCCCAGAGACTCTGAAAATGGGATCTGTTGTTATTAAAACTTAACACTGTGTTTAGCCTAGTGTGACTAGGAGTAAGCATAATGCAAGATAACTTAGACACTTCTAAGGATACTTTCTTGAATATTCTGGAATTTTGTAAATTTGGGGTAAGTAAATTAGTCTAAATAACTACCACCAATATATAAGTGCAAAACTTAGGAATAATTACTAATTTTATTAAGGAACTTCAATGTATGTTATCATATTTGACCCACATAACTATCTGTGTAAAATAGGCATTATTATCTCAGTTTCTCATGTGAAACTTAAAGCTGTTAGGTAGTCTGTCCTTGCAGGAATAGTGTATATCCACCAGACAAATACATGACTGTCTGATGCTGAAGTCTTTGTTCTATTACACCATGCGGCCATAGAGAAAACTGGAAGAAATTGCCATCATTGCTTGCAAAAATCAATATTTACCATTCCACATGAATGCATAGGTAGGACATAAATGAAAAGGCTATTTTTGCTTGAGAAATAATTGTATTTCTTTCTTTTTATGTTTTCTCATCAGAAACTTGAAATGTGAGAACAGCTAATACAATCCTGGTTGACCTCAAGATCCTTTAGGATTATTTTGTGATTTGACTTTCATGAACAAAGAACCAGTGAAAAAATACAAAACAAACCAACGAACATGTAATGGTGCTGACAAGTATCCTGCCTGGCTCGCTA
This sequence comes from Homo sapiens, assembly GCF_000001405.40. NCBI lineage: Eukaryota > Metazoa > Chordata > Mammalia > Primates > Hominidae > Homo > Homo sapiens. Next base: position 95,176,115 of record NC_000006.12, read on the forward strand.
CCCTTAGGAGACTGTCATCCTGTTTCATTGTCAGTTTATAAACATCATTGCTAAATGGAAAGCAGAGATAATTCATTCAGTTCACTTAGGAAAACCTTGAACTTCAGGTCACCTAAACTAAATCTGTTTAAATCTCAGAAGTAATGAGAGAGCAAACATAAAATTATAGAAAATTCTAATGCTATTTTCATCCCAGGGAGTTCAGAATTACATTATGCAGGGAATATAATTAACTCCACTGAATTCTACCCTAAGTAGCATGTTAGAAGTGTAGGATTTGTCATTAGCATAAATGGAACAAAAACACAGGCCTGAAGTAAAATATCTGCAACATTGCCATCAACAGCCAATGGGAATGAAAGAATCTTGCAAAGGAATGACAGGTCAAAGGAAGTGATGAAAGCTATAATTAAAACCATAAACTGTAAGTAAAAGAGCATGTAAACTACAGAGCCATTTAGTCTATGGGTGAATGAATCCAGAATAATTATATTAAGCTAAATGAAGAGTTACTGCTTTCTTGCAAGGCTCACGCTAGAACAGAAAACAAAGCTTCCCGAGAGGAGTCAGAAAATCTTCATTCTCTGTTGGGTCTGTTCTGAATCACTGCTTGATTTCTAGTAAGAACTTAAACTTCCTAAATGTCTCTTTCCCATGACTGTATTCTGAGACCAATCATATTTCCTTTACAGGTAGGTTTAGAAGACAAGTTAAAAAAATAGTTAAAAGATGTTTGGGAGAAAGATAATAAAATATAACTATGTTTCTATTGAAGTCTCCAGGCATGATAAAAACCAGTCTAAAATAGAAAAAATTCAGGTTTATGTTTTGTTCTTACTATTGATTTGATGCCTACATTTAATCACATAATCTCGTAGAATTTCAGTTTCCTTATATGTAAGTTCAAATAAAGACAAAGTTGTGGTCGGGTGAAGCTCAGATGACAAAACGTATTTAAATGCAATATGGAAAATGTAAAAATCTAGAAATAATACCGATAATTTTTAAAACTTACTGCCAATGGTATACAATAGAAGAGTAATGACAAGCCTATGAAAGCAAGATGTATATGGAAACTTTTATATCCAAATTTGTCAGTAAACCAAGCAATGTCTGCAATGGTCAGTAGCTCAGTATCTCTCCGTTTATTAAAATATTTTTAAACATAGATTTACATTTTATTTTAGTTGGCTTTTATAGTTTAATAAGAGTGCCAATTTCATATAGTGAGAATCACATTTTAAAAGGTGTAAATCCCGATTCTTTACAAGGATATTGCTACTGTTTATTTTGAAAAGATGAAAGGGGAGCATTAAGGTAAGAGCTGCAGACTCTCAAAGGAGAGGCAAAGCACAAAAGTTTCTTTGCATAATAATGAAATGAATTGTTTTGGAATTTCCTCCTCAAAACTTCAAGCCTAGATATCATACTTTACAAGGTAATTAATTTACTTCATAATTTATTTTTAAATTCTTCCTAATCATTTTCAAGATATATGATGCTTTGTCAGTGTCCTAAGAGCCCCTGATGTTGCCTGCAGATGTGTTCTGTTCGGCCTACGCAGTGAATCTTTTCATAGAGCTAAATTTTCAATTCCCATCAACACCTATGGGATTAGAATTGAACCTATCCATATTTAACTTACTTGTCTGGCTCCTGAAGAGTTTTTAGTTTGCACCTCTGTATACAGCATAGAACCTTAAAACAAATATAGTTGACCCTTGAACAACGTGGGGGTTGAGGGTGCTAACTCCACGCAGTGAAACATCCACATATACATTTGACTTTCCCAAAACTTAACTACTAATAGCCTACTGTTGAAAGGAAGATTTAGTGATAAACAGCTCATTAGCACACATATTTTGTATTCTTACAACAAAGTAAACTAAAGAAAAGAAAATGTTATTAAGACAATCATAAGGAAAATAATATATATTTACTATTCATTAAGTGGAAGTGGATCATCATAAATGTCTTTATCTTCATCATCTTCACATCAAGTAGGCTGAGGAGGAGGAGGAAGAGGATGGGTTAGTCTTGCTATCTCAGAGGTGACCTAGGCAGAAGAAAATGTGTGTATGAGTGGAACATGCAGTTCAAGCCTGTGTTGTTCAAGGGTCAACTGTAATATGAAATTATTATTTACTGAAAGGAACTCCAGTTATAATGTTCATTAAATCCACATAATATATTTTGAACAGATATTTTTCTAATTTTTATGGTCTTGAATGTGTTCCAACTTATTTTTTATTCTTCAGTTTAATACTTATAATTTATATAGACTGAATGAAAATAATTTATTTTCCTTCTTGAATCACCAGAAGTTGTTATTCTAGGGAGTATAAATTTGAGCATAAGCTGAACCCTTTCTATCTCATTCACCTCTAAAGCAGCCTCCCAATCCCTCGAATCCCTTATGCTAGGCTAATTTTAAAGCACCTCTATATCAGGGTACTGCTTTTAAATTATTTTTGTGTTTTTAAATAGCCATGATTCAAATCTATTTTCAGTGACTTTGAATTCACAGATTTCAAGTCCATTGTTGCAGTACTATTTTACTGCAAAAGTGTTCTCTGCAAGGCATTGATAGATTAGTAAGTAATGGGAATATATTTCTGAACACATGGACACTGGGAGGGGAACAACATACACTGGGACCTGTTGGGACATGGGGGGCAAAATATGGGAGAGCATTAAGACAAATACCTAATGCATGTGGGCTTAAAATCTTAATGACAGGTTGATAGGTGCTGCAAACTACCATGGCACATGTATACCTACGTAACAAACCTGCACATTCTACTCATGTATCCCAGAACTCAAGGCAAAATTTAAAAAAAAAATTAAAAGTAATGATTAAGCTGCTGAGTTGTTTTGCTTCCCGGAATACCACACCTTTCCTTTCTATCCTCAGTCCTTACACCAATTCACACATTTAGGCTAATTGGTGGTCTGTGCTTTTTCTGGTTTTGGTTTACTTAAATCTTGGTCTTTAGAGAGGTCGGTTGGCATAGACAAAGTATTTCATAAGTCCTTGAGAGAACTAGACTGTACCTTTCTGTAATCTAGGGAGAAACAGAAAGGAAAATAAGAGGGAAAAAAGGAGCACATAAATGTTCGCAGGTCCAGTGTCCTGCTTTACTGACAAAGAACTCAAGATGGAGAATGAGAATGAAAGATTTCCATGCTCCATAGTAATGTAAAAATATCTAAATTCCACATACTTCCATGTGGTAACCATAACACAGAACTCCACTATAAGTGAAGGAGCATGAGGACAGGAAAAAGAAACATCTCAGTAGCAATCTATATGGACTGAAGGCCCAGCAGATGCAATGGGGAACATCTCCTCAAGTGTCAGGTGCAAAAGGATAACTAGTCCCTCCTACAAAGCCTTGGCACTCTGTAAGTCCCTTCATCTCCAATACTTGGCCCAACACTAGGAAAAGGGGGGTTGTCTTGGCTGAGAAGGAGTTTCCACCAAGTGGTTAATAGGGGGAGAAATTGAAAATAATTTCATTATAGAAAATGATATGTATCGTGCATATCTGTGTTCTTGCAGAGGTTCATATCTAGCATATAATTAATTAAAAATCAAAATAAAATGTCAAAAGTGTTTTCTTATTACCTGTGATTCATTAGAATCTAGACATTAAAACTTTGTAAAGACCTCAGGTATACATGATAGGATGAAGCCATTTCTTCTGCTTTTAAGTTACATCTGCATCACTGACTTCCAATGCAATGTTGTAGCAAATTCACATACTAAAATAATCTAACATTAAACAGGAATATAATAATTTTTACAATACTCTTCATATGTTGGCAGTATGTGCATGAGGCAAGTAGTAGACTATATATACATCAGTTCAGTTAAAGAATTTAGTATGTTCCAAGACATGTAGATATTAAATGTAAAGTACAGTATTATTAGGTTTAAACATTTAACCAAGCACTAAAACTACCTCAGTGAGTTTCAGTCCAACACTTCATTCCAACTTCAGAAGAGTGCAACTCTCACTGTCATCATACACATGGAGCTATAACATTTGGGTCCACTTATTCTTTGCAAATGAGGTGCCTCACTTCTTGACTTCCAAAACTTTTAAGCAATCTATTTCTTATAACATGAATCAAAGGTTTATTGGATGTCTTCTGAACCATCTGGGTGAGTTAAGGGTAAAGGAATCTAAAATGCATGTATTCATTTCATTTAAAATACACATGGGCTTATAAACCAATTGAAAATTACTTGGCGTGAAAGTAGAGGAACTTGGCAGAAAATGTTTTCTTGAACCCAACATTTTGACAAAGTCCAAATGCAATAAATAATTGCCCAGATTTTTAGCCATGAATTGGCACAATAGTCAAATAAGAATTAAAGAAAATATATCGAAATGAATTTGAAACAGTTAGATATGCTTTCTTAAATGAAATGTAGCTTATAGAAAGGCTTATGTATCTTTTACTACAATAATGGATCTTAACTTTCAGGGCTTTGTTTTCTAGCATCTGATTACAACTAGATGTCTTTTATATGCCTCTAGGAATCAGGTGGGATTTTTTTGTTTGTTTGTTTTGTTTTTTGTTTTTTCTATTGCCGGTTTATAAGAGTGCTGTAGAAACTGATAGTGTCAGGTGCTCTTACAATGAGACTATGGCATGTATGCACACATAGGCACATTCCTGCACGCACACATAAAGAAAAAACTCCCTGCACGCACACATAAAGAAAAAACTCCCTACTCCACAAAGTAAAAGTAAAAACTGCTCTTTGTATTTGTTCCTTTGAAGATTATGCTACACACCCACCCACCCACACACACATACACACAGACACACACACACACAGAGCTTCTAATCTACTAACAGGAACAGCTAACAATATTTTTTGTAAATTTTTGCTTCCAACAAGGGTTGCTATATAAAATGCAAGATGCACATTTAATTTGGATTTCAGAAAAGCACCAAATAATATGTTTTGGTGTAAGTATGTCACATGTAATATTTGGGACAAGCCTACATGCAAAAAATTAACTATTTATCTGAAATTCAAATTAAACTAAATGTCTTGTTTCTTGTATTTTTTCTTAATCTGAAAACCCTACTTCCAACGTCTGTTAATGAATGCATTTAGAAGAGGAAGTATTTCAATGAATAAGTAGTTCTCAAGATCCTATCATGTAGTTTCTAAGAACAAAGAGATCTCTTTAGGTACTTACATTCCACTCAGGATATAAGACTAACATGTGAAGAATGCAATATAGTTTAATTGTTAAACTGTGTTTACTATCTATAAATGATCTGTTTATAGATTAAAAAATAATAAGACCTATTGAAATTAAAGAACTTTTCATGATTGATATGCACTTTGAAGAAAATGAAGACATTTTCCATGAAGAAGAGGTATGAAGGAGTATTCCAGGGCAGAGAAATAAGATTGAAAACTTAGAGGAGAGAATCAGCACAATATATTAATGACACATTGGGCAGGTATTCAGACGATGGGAAAAATATTATTCAAAGATGCTTAAAACTAAAATGTGAGAACAAAATATATGCATATATAACATCAACAGTTCCTTTCAATCATTAGCTAAAGATGTTACTGTACTTAAAAAATGGAGTCACAGACCTCAAAAGCCTTGCAGTCTTTGAGTCTTAGCAATTCTTATCCAGAACTGAATTTTGATATAAGCAAGAACATGGACCATACCTATTTTATATATTCCCAGTATTTAGCACAATGTTTAAACATAGTGCTCAATAAATGCTTGCAAAAAAATTTCTCATTGTAACGAAGAGAAAAAAGGAAGGAAGGGAGGGAGGGAGGGAGGGAGGGAGGGAAGGATTCCTCAAAGTTGGTAGATATTTTAGGAGTAATAAAAGTAAATTATTTTAATTGTTAAATTTATTTATATTTCTAAAGAATAAAATACAGAAGTAGAATTTCAGATGCCAATGTCACATGAAGAAGGATTCTACTGCCCTTTTTCATCCATTTATTTTGAAGAATATTACTTTAAATTGAAATAATACTGCATTTAAAACATATCCACCAAGGTTCCAGAAGGTGATTCTACAAAAATTATTCTTCAGGAATAACTCTTCCACTCAAAACAAGAATTAAAATATAAATAAACATATTTAAGGAGTTCTTATTATGAGACATTTAAGGCTATAATATTTAGGTATTTAAAAAATTAGGATTATTGGATAAATGATTTTGTGCAATAGCCATTGAAGATTCTTGAAGTGGAGATGGCTCTGTTTGCTTTCTAACAGAGAACTTGTTGTCGTGTGTTGATGTCAGCATCAAGTCTAAAGGTTATTGCTGTAGCTGACAAGAAACAAAATCTCACTGTCAATCAGTGAATTTTTCCATTAGAATGAAGGATATTTGAATATTTGCCATGCTTTGCAGATTTTTAATCTTCAAATCATTAGTTTTACCATATACATATGTGTTTTAAAATTAATACTGCTTTTCTTCCTTGTCCTCTGATTTCTACCAGGTTATTAGTCCTCCATTCAGGACTGGTACTAGTTGGATAAAGACAGGAGATATGCCAACATATCCTGTGGTTTACCATCTGGATTTTTACTAAACATAAAAGTAGACTTTTAAGAAATGAGATTGAAAGACTATAGTGCTTGGCAGGATTGAAAGGACACTGGTCATGTGGTACGTTTAGGCTTTGTGTCCCCATCCAAAGCTCATCTACAGTTGTAATCCTCATAATCCCCACAATCCCCATGTGTCAGGGAGAGACCAGGTGAAGGTAATTGAATCATGGGTGTAGTTTCCTCCATGCTGTTCTTGTGATAGTGAATGAGTTCTCATGAGATCTGGTGGTTTTATAAGAGGCTCTTCCTCCTTTGCTTAGCTCTTCTTCCTGCCGCCTTGTGAAGAAGGTGCCTTGCTTCCCCTTCACCTTCCACCATGATTGTAAGTTTCCTGAGGCCTCCCCAGCCATGCTGAACTGTGAGTCAATTAAACCTCATTTTTTTATAAAGTACTCAGTCTTGGGAAGTCATTTATGGCAGTATGAAAACAGACTAATACAACATGGTTTCCAAACACAGAGGCTGACTGCTTTTGTCTTACATTAAAAACTTAATAAAAGACCCTTCATAGCCTTGTCCATCAGGTAGGACTAAGAATAGCATGTGCCATGATATCAAGGTCAAAAATTCTGTGAACAAAAAGTCCTCAGACTCCTCTATTACCCAGGGCAATGCCTAACAGTCTTGGTGGCACAATGGTGGCACACTTCTGGCACACACCTCTGGTGGCACAGTGTTAAACTGATGTTGTACAAACATGTGTCTTGCACAGACCCCTTTTCATTTTGGGGTAATGATTTTATCATATTTATAAAGAATCACATATGTTTATTTTTTTGAAGTCAAACAATTTTTTTGAAGTCAAACAATACAAAAATGTATAAAGCATAAAGTTTATAAATGTATAAATGTATAAAGAATAAAGTTTATAAAACCCTTTGGCATTTCATCACCAAGAAAAAATACTTGACAGAGCATTATTCCAGTTTCTTTCTGTGCATGCATACTAACAAATTAAATGAGTTACATATTAATAAAATATTTTATTAAAAAGTATATCATATTCATGCATTTTATTTAAAAGTATTAAATGTAGTATTTCTTGATTTTTTAGGATAAAAAGGAAATAAATTGAAATTTAAGTGCCAGATAAATTATTCCTTCTTTAAATAAAACAAAATGATCGTAATACCTAAAATATTTATTTAAAGTTAAGAGTAAAAGATTGAGATAGACCATAAAGAACTGAAACCATTATTTTTTCTCCAAATTTCAATTTTATATTAGCAAAATGACTACCTACTATAAAGGATGAGGAAACCAGAATTCTCATGTTTTTACCCTTTCTTTCTTTCTTTCTGCAAATTCCTGCTTTAAAATGATTGTATTTTCATTTTTGAATTATCAAAGTTCATGACACTTTTACTATTTTCTGTAGACACAAGTTTCTCAGTTGGTTTAAGCTCAGTTTTATATCTGCGTGAGAAATTAAATACTTACTCTTAGTTCATTTTTCCATTTCTATACTTTATTCCTGATTTGCAACTTTTGATTCACCTTCTAGTTAGCTGAGTTAGAACAGTAAGCAGTTTTTCAGGAGTAACTTAAGGGTATTATTTTTCCCTGTATTTTTGTATCTCACAGTAATTGCCTACTGCCTTCATAAATATAAAGTACCTATGAAATTGAATTATGAATTGGCTATATTTTTGGATATTTTCTCCTTAGAATTTTAAGGAGATCACTCCATTTTCTTCGATATTTAACCTAGCTGTGGAAAGTCTGAAGCAAACCGGATTTTCCATCTTACATTCTCTTTTGCATTTGCCTGTGTGCATGAAAATTTATTCAGGTGTCATTGAAATGTAATACTAAACTAGAATATGTCTCAGTATGTTCCACTTTGTATCAATTTTTCATAAAACATGGTGTGATCTTTTACATCTTTAAAATCAGTTATTCATTTCACAGCACTATTTTCCCTAATGTATCTGTGAATGTATTTTTCTGTTCCATTTGTTGAATATTTGACAGCAGAAATTACTTACATTTGTGATTTTTTTAACTTTTATATCTTCCCAACTGCTTTAATATCTTTGTCTTTTTTCTTTTGCATTAAAAATAATATCATTCCTTTCTTCTGTGGCAGTTATTTGAGATTTATCTTTACTTTTCCAATCCTGTCTTTTCCCAGTTCCTTTATTTGTTCAGTTAATGATGTCTGTTTTTTCCTAAATTTGTTTTTAAAGCTCAGAAATACCATTTTCTATTTTCTTAATGTATCTTTGAATTATTATTCTATTGAAGTAAGTTCTGGTTAAATTCCTCGAAGGTAGGAGGTATTCAAAAAAATATTCTTTTTCAAAAAATTAACAATTTGATACTTTGTCTTTTTCCAGTTATATTTTCTTTCTTCTCTTTTTTGATAATATTGTTTTATAGCTGTCAGGCAATTATGCCCACAACTAGAGCTGTAAACAATTAATGTTAGAGAACTTGAAATATTTACTGCCTAGTTTGATTTTATGTGTTTTTTTAACTGTCTGTAAAAAGATTTCACCGCATTAGTAAGGAAGTGTATCCTACCCAAGAGGGTATGCTCAAGTTCCATATCGCTACTAATTTTACCGTGAATGTATTGGAAATGCAAAGCCCTGGTTATCTAATCTCTACCGACATCTTTAGATCTCATCGCATTTTACAAAGTCTTCTCTCTCCTCTCTCTCTTTCTATCTCTCCCTTCCCACCCTCCTCAGTGTCTCTGTCTCTTTCTATTTCTATTTCTCTATCTCTGTCACTCTCAATCCTCTTTCTGCTACCTATCTGCATAAATTTCTTTTCCTGTAACTCCAGACAACTAATAATTATTCAGATTCCTGTCTACTATTTTTATTATTTTGTTTTTGGATGAAAAGCTTAGACACTCCATCAAGAGCTTGCAGATACAAACTTTTCGTTGGATTTCATGTTACAGATTTCATGGCATGAATTTGAAACTCTTTTTTTGTTGCTTTTTTGCTGATGAATTGTTGTTTGTATCTTATTTTATTTTGTATTTGTGTGTGTGTCTATTTCTTTAGATATTATCTTTGTGACTTCTGTAATCCAATTTTACTCTGCCATCTTTTGACAAATTATTTTCATCACAATATTCCCAAACAGTATAAAATTCTTATGTTAATAATTTTGAAGTCTTAAAAATCTATTAACTTTAAAAATGTATAAAATTATCGAAATTAAAATTTAGAATAACAATTTAATACTATGAATGGTGTTTTACTCAGAAATTATATTACTACTCCAAACGTGAATATTATGTTTACTGGTTCATTACAGGTTCTTTGACTTTGGAAAGTTGATACACTATAGGACCAGGAGATGGCTCAATTGTCCTACTCTTCTTTTCTATTTGAACTATGGCCTTTCTTTGATGTCAGTATGCATCATGTGCACTCCACCTTGTTTTTTTCATTATTTAACAATTTTGATCTCTCAGCAACTGTGTATACTGATCTCACTTAGCAGTACTTAATTGTAATGTACCCCAGAATATGTTTCAGATATATTCTTAAGGTAATTATTTTTAAATTTCATTGAAATAGAAAACACAACACTTTTACACTTCTTACAGAGAATATGGGTGCCAGTAATTTTTTAAGTGTTTTTACCTCTAGAGCCATGTAAGTGAAGGTACCAAGACAAATTGATTAATACTTAATCTAAATCGAGAAACACAGAGCAGTGCTCCACTGACTTCATAGCTTCCATTTGTAAGTACGTACTGTTTACAAGTCAAGTGCTTGTGAAAAAAAAAAGGAAAAGAAAATTAGCTATAAATCAAAAAGTCAGCCCCACATAGGAGTTTATGACTTTCATATCCTGAAGCATATTCTAAGATATTTCAATGTACAGCTTGTATACTTTCTTTTTAAATTCCTGGATCCTTTAAATTTGTTATCTTGGTGTTTTCATTTTCAGACCTGTATAATCAGCAACATCTTTGCTCTGTAAGGGGAAAGTAAAATCCCATTGCACCAGTGTCATTTTTGATGTAGATCTTTAGGAAAAAAATAGCAAGTATCAAGGATTAAATTATGCTGTTGTCAAGCCTCTAATTTTTCTATGAATGACTTATAAAGTAAGCAAAGGGTGAGGGGAAAGTACCATATGCTCTTTTTCCAAAGGAGTGTTTCTTTCTTAACAACAGATCAGAAGTCACCTTTAAATGCTGACTATGTAGAAACCTCCAGCTGCTTATTCTGCACAGGCAATTTTTGCTTTCTTTTTGCTGAGCTTCCAAAAGGAGAATATCTAAAAATAATTATTTCTGCCAGTTGAGTAATTAATGACGGCCTTACCAAATGACAATTTTATTGAATGACATTAGGAAAGATGAATTAGTTTTTTTATTAAATGGTATTTCAATGTTTCAAGGACTCCATGAATACCCCAAGAAGAGTGTTCCTGTTAAATTAGGGAAAACAGTGTTTTGGTTTTCATAACTACAATAACTATTTGGTACATGTGAGTATTTTTCTAGCAAAATCAAAAAGTTAAGATATATTACTTTGCTTTGCTATTATTTCATGACTAAAATTATTACAGAATGAAAATTAATGGATATTTATTTGTATTGGCATGTCAGTTATTTTCAAACATTTTATGAATTATAACTTTTCTAGAGATCTTTGTCCTTATTCTTTTCACCACTTCCCTCATGTCTATCAGACTTGAAACAACAACAAAGAATGTAAGCTTTATATTTGTCAGCACATTGACTGACCTGGTTTAGTGCCACTACCACTCTTCTCACTCTTCCTCATTCACTACCAAAGGCATGTAAAAAGGAATTAACGCTGAAATCAATAAATGTCCTTATAGGGTGTTAAGAAATAGTAGTTAAGTAGATCTATAACATTAGTAAACTGTAGCTATTTTAACTAAACATGTACCAAGTTCCAGAAATGAGCTCTTCCCTTTTATCTATCTGGTCTGATGTCACCAACTCTAGGAACTTGCTCCCTAGTTCTCCTGAGCCAGTAATGCCTTAGTGCTGTAGTGCTGTGGGGCTCAGTCTTTGGTCCTTAATTTGCTCTTGTAGTCATCTCAGTGATTCCCATGTCTTTAGAATACCATCAATATGCTGACAACCCCAAAATGTATGACTACAGCCCAAAGCTCTGGACTTATATACACCACAGGCATCTTAAGATCTCTTCTTGGATGTGTAATAGACTTTTAAAAACTTAAAATATCTAAAAATGAACTGATTTCCCCTGAAAAATCTGTACCACTTGTTGGTTTTCAATCTCAGTTAATGGCAAATAACAATAATAATAATTATTATTTAAACTCTCTTTATCTTTTTTATTAGTTACTTTCTGTCACACTACACATCTATGCTGTGAGAAAATCATGTCAACACTACCTTCAAAATATATACACAATCAAGTCATTTTTCACCACATATCCTGGTGCCACCCCAATTGGACCACCATCATACTTCATCTGGATGACTGTACTTATTTCATGTTTGACTTATTTCTTTCAACTCATGCCTTCTCTGCCATAATCTATACTCTATGCAGCAGCCAGAATGACCCATTTGAAATGGATCCTAGATATCATCACTCCTTTATTTAATACACTTAATGGCTCAAAATCCTACACAGAGTGAGTCATTAAAGTCCAATTTAATTGACCCTTTTCTGTGACTATTTGCACATATCTCGCATATCACTGCATATCACTCACACTAACTTCTTGCTTTTTCTTAAACCATAAAAGTATCTTCCTATCTTACTTTGTTCATTTTATTGGGAACACTTATTTCCCAAATGTCCTCCAGTCTATCTCCTTCCCTCATGTCTTTTAAGTCCTTCATTATCATCTTTTCCATAAGGCCTACCTTGACCACCCAATGGAATACCACATTCTCTTCCTCTTCCCAACCACAGCACCATTCTTTACTCTGCTTGACCTTTTTTTTTTAATTCACCTTCTAACACATAACACATTTCCTCTGCTTATTATATTTGGTATTTATTTTCTACATATCCTGCTAGAACATAAGCTCCCTCAGGGGATTGAAGTGTGTTTGTTTTGGTTGCTGGGCAATAATTGTTATTTTTCAACCCTTGACATATTCTCTAGATTGGGTATTCTGACCAGCTACAGTTCCTCCTGTCAAGTGAAAGTGAGTTTGCCGCTAGAGCAGATTCAAATGACTCAATTGATAGGACTGGTAATCACCTGAGAGACCTTGCTAGACTGAACTTTCTCACACTCACATCTCAATTTCCATTCTGAAACTTAATACATCTCTGTATCATAAAGAATAGTGGAGAAGTTTGCATATCTAATATTATTAATTATATCATTACATTTATTAATATTAGAACATCATTTTGGGAATAGTACTAATATATACTTTCAACATTCAGTTATATTTTATGTTAATTTCTCATTTAGAATTTTATAATGATATTCATGTACATGACCCGTATTAAAAAGTAGTCTATTTTAACTTTAAACTCTGCATTTTTATTACCATGAGCATGTTAACTTCTTTGAAGAAATGTTTAAAAGATTATGATTGACTCAGGTTGTTTATACAAAGAGACATTTAATGAAATGAGTAGCAGCTGAAAAACATACCTTATTTAAGACTACACTAACAATATACTTAAAACAAAATTTTTTTCTTGAAAACTTGTGATGTCAAAGAACATTTATAATGTACAATGCTACTTGGCAGGTAGAATTTCTAAGAAAATTCAAAAAATGCACTAATTTTAGGTTTTGAATACTAAAATGTATACTCACTGTTTACTAAGAAGTAGCCCTAATCTTACAGAAAATGAATGGCTATGGAACTGTATCATTAAACTATAAGAAGTAAACGGCAAGTTGTGTTTTCAATAAATCTGTAGCCCATCTGCAAGGTCTTTGAGAATATGAGAATCAATGTTACAGAACAGATTTCAGCTTCTTTCCAACTGACACAGCCATTGAATATTAGTCACAAGCATAACAAATCTCATCAGTAATGGTAGTTCACATTAGTCTGGCACAAAGGAAAAACAGGTTGCACTTTTATGAACATTTTCTTTTTCTAGCTATAATCCCACCCCTTCAACTTCCCCCAAACTCAGGACCTCCATAGCTACATAATGGTTGAAAACCAAGACTGTGGAATTTTGAGGAGAAAAACCATTAACAGTGGGCTGTTGAGAGCGATGTTATATCCTTTATCTACTTTGATTACAAATGGCCCAATGAGATAAAAATAGGTATAAGTCCCATCGTACACAGGAAGAAATATATTTGGAAAGAGTAGATGGCCAAATGTTGCTGAGGGAGTAATAAGTGGAGCCACCATAAAGAACTAATTTCCAGTTCATTTGACTTCCAGCCCAAGGCTCTCTACTCTGCCACAACATGAGAAAGTTGGATTAAATGATTTCTCAAGTATCCCTAGGCAAAAAACAAAACATGATTTATCTCATTCTAGTCATGGAGATGCGAAGGAGGTCATGATTTGGATGCATGGATAAATGATAGATGGCAAAGAACAGGAAATTTACATGTTCATATGATCCAAATTGTGTAGCTCCTACTCAAGGAGAGTTGTTTGGGGCTCCATATCTATCACACCTGTCAGGCAATTATCACTCCTTTGCATCTACTGACAAACAAATAGATAAAATGCTTTTAATATTTATATTTCTTTGTACTGGAAATACATTATTTAAATGATAAGGACATTCTAAGGAAGGATAAAAAATTACATTCAACAATTTCCAAATGAAAAGTCATTTGTTTATAGTAGGCTATTCAGTCAGAGTTAGACTACATTTTATGCTTTTTCTTTTATGACACTGACTTTTTTTTCTCCAAATAGGCTGGCTGTCATGTAAATGTGCATCATTGTTTAAAAGAAGAATAAGCAAAAAACCTCCAAAGTCAGGGTGAATCCATTGTCTCTGCTTCCAAAACAACACTAGTATTCTCCCAGTGATGCATGTGTAGAAACAACAAACAGAAACCTTTAAAGATCATACTTTAAAGATCATATGGTTGAACTCACCATATTATAGATAAATGAAAAGACACAGGAAGGGGAATATCACGCTATGGGGACTGTTGTGGGGTGGGGGGAGGGGGGAGGGATAGCATTGGGAGATATACCTAATGCTAGATGACGAGTTAGTGGGTGCAGCGCACCAGCATGGCACATGTATACATATGTAACTAACCTGCACAATGTGCACATGTACCCTAAAACTTAAAGTATAAAAGGCATATCTTTGGTGAATGAGGTTAACTATCCATCCCAACTGTGGTATCTAGGTTTTCTGACTCCCAGTTGATTTTTTTCTCTAGATTACCATTATGATTGCTTTTCTTAACATGTGGAAGGAAATAGTTAGTGTTCATAGTAATTCATTTGCCAAGTAATTATAATACTGTACTCCTTTATGAGAAGGCTTATCAACAACACTGGTAATATTAAACCCCCATTGGACTAATTAGGAAATCTTTACAGCTTAGTCAATTGACTCACAGCTAAGGGGATACAAAAAAAGAAGAAAACAACCAAACACCATTAATTTTTCTTTTTCCTTCTCTGGGACCTGCTGTCTTTATTGAAAATATTTAACATTCATTAAAAAGCAAAATAAAACAAATTAAAATAAAAATCTTCCATGGCAGTAAGTTAAATAAGCATGTACTTTCTTCGAACCCAAGCATAATATTTTTTTCATTGTATCAGAGCCCTAAGTACATGCCAAATGCATTAGAGTAGCACTAGACTATTTCCTGGCTATTAGCCAAATGCTGTGCAACTTAATACACACACAGCCTGCTGTATATTTCAAAGGTTCTGATCAAATTAGTTTGAAGTTTTAGTTAGATTAGAAATGTTCATATCTTTCTATCAATACTAGATAGTTAATCTTTCTATTTCATGTTTTAAATTCTCTGATTTTTAGTAAGCTTACCAATTAAGATAAAGTTAACCACTGTATTTCCAGGTGAATGTGACAATCCTTTAATGAAGTGAAATGCAACAAAATTTCTTTGGTGAAAGGATCTGGTAATCATACTTATGATAAAATGGATAGAAAGATATGTCTGTATCTATATCTGTATCTATCAATGAATAGAAAAACACAGTTGTATGTGCTCCATAGCCTGGTTCAGGAAATGCTTATTTACAAAGGCATTGGTAATTAAAACTATGATTTTTAGGAAACTTCCTGACAAGAGTAAAATTAAACAAAAGTTAATTATTTTGATTATGTGTCTATATTCCTCACCAGCCAACTTGCCAAACCTATGAATTTCTAAGGAATTACACTAGGCAAATTTCACTTTTATTTTCCTCATTTTCTGTGATCATTGCTAAAGGGAGGGCTAAGGAGAAACAAAAGTCTTGGAGTCACTAAAAGGCTTAGAAATTTTATTACACAGACAATTGAGAAATATTGCTTTATTTCCAAAGAATTTTTAACCACTTCTCAGTCAGATTGAACATTTTAGCTTTACACTTCACAGTTTCTTTAGTATTATGATGAGTTGTAATGCTAGTGTACTTGGGTCTGCTTCCTTAACATAATTTAAACTACATGAGGTCAATGTGCATATGTTATATTTTGTGTATACCCCAAAATATAGTACAACTTTTGATACATTTTTTGGTGTGCAAAGTAATATGTGCATTGAATGTAATGTCTTTTACATGAAACTACAGTACTCTTTCTAAATAGCAAATTCAAACAGACTAGTTTTTCTTTCTTCCAGTGCTGCAAAGGATCTAGTAGTAAATAAAAATACTAAAAAGCAAAGTGTTGACTGTTGTTCTGAACCTTTGAAATAAACAGGGTTTTTTCTTGCCTTTGGGAGTTTTCATTTCATTACCAACAGCAACTGCCATTTCACATGTACTTTAAATATACAGTGTCTTTCCTCAGTATAATGGACTAAGCTAATAAGACTGGACAAATCCAACTCCTACCACTCATAATACCAAATATAAATATCAGATAAAAAAATAAGTAGTTAGCCAAAGTTGAGAGAAATAAACTCACACACAAAAAAACCAGAAACTACCGAGTAACGAAACAGAATATTCAGCTGAGAGCTGATGCCATGATGCCATCCATCAGGAACCATAGGGTAAGGGTGTCAAATGCAGATGTAGAGGTTGGGGCCAAGTCTTTAATGTATATGGGAAGAAAAAGCCAGAGTCTTGGGCCAAACGGGGTCCAGCATACCATAATAGGGCTTCTGTACAAAACACAGCTCCTTAAAAGAGTGCCCAATAAATACAAATCATATTAGAAAATCTCCAACTTTTAGCCCAGGGAAGCCTTCAGGAGGGCTGTTGTCTCCTCAAAGACAATACTTGCAGGGGAGGACAGGAAAGAGGATTAAAAATTACAGAACTGTAGCATGAATTGAAGTCCCATCCAAATTCACACTTTTCACAAGAGGTAGGAACCTAACCAAAAACTGTAATTATGATTAATTTAGTTAATATTAAATGTAATAATTAGTATTAATAGTATTAAAAAGATGTGGCCAGGCGTGGTGGCTCACACCTGTAATCCCAGCACTTTGGGAGGCTGAGGTGGGTGGATCACGAGGTCAAGAGCTCGGGACCATCCTGGCTAACACGGTGAAACCCCGTCTCTACTAAAAATACAAAAATTAGCTGGGTGTGGTGGCGGGTGCCTGTAGTCCCAGCTACTAGGGAGGCTGAGTCAGGACAATGGTGTGAACCCAGGAGGCGGAGCTTGCAGTGAGCCGAGATCGCGCCAATGCACTCCAGCCTGGGCAACAGAGCGAGACTCCGTCTCAAAAAAAAAGAAAAAAAAAAAAAAGAGCTCGAGGTCATCCCGGCCAACATGGTGAAACCCCGTATCTACTAAAAATACAAAAATTAGCTGGACGTGGTGGTGCGCACCTGTAGTCCCAGCTACTCGGGAGGCTGAGGCAGGAGAATTGCTTGAACCCGGGGACTAGAGGTTGCAGTAACCCAAGATTGCACCACTGCACCCCAGCCTAGTGACAGAGTGAAACTCCATCTCAAGGGGAAAAAAAAAGAGATATAACTAAAATCTCATTATAAACAAACAAAGACCCAAGGAATCTTTCTCTCTCCCACAAACAGATGCACATAAAACCCAGCTGGAAAAAAGCTGCAATAAAACATTATATGTCATTGATGAAACATAACTTGATTATTCAATTTATTATTTCATCTTTGGAATGTTCACTACTTATGCTGCTTCTCTAAATCAAAAGACCTCAAAAATTTGCTTTAATGGCATACAGATTTGAATATTCTACTTTGATGAATAGAGTTAAAAAACAAAATTTACAAACTATAACTGCTTAACCATAACTGCTGAATTTTGCTTTAAAATAACAACTAACGGTATCATTGATTTAATTAACTGTGTCTCACCTCTTTCCCAAACAGATATGGAGTAAACATAAAGATCTCAAGGAGATCATTTTTATATCTTACCAAATGCTTTAAAGGATTTAAAAGGATAATTTCAATTGGTCCATAACTATATTTAAAACACTGTACTTTTTAACCAAATAAAACATAACTTGAAATTGGTCTCCTCTATTGAAATAATAGCATTAAGAATATATGTATTTATTTAGCAGTGCTACCTTCATTCCATGTATTTTTGGAATCCTTTCAGAAATGTATCACATATATTTCTGTAAGCTTTACTTTTCTCTATTATTTTCTAAATAATAATCTACTATTTTCTAAATAATAATAGAATAATCTATTATTTTCTAAATAATAATAGAATAATCTATTATTTTCTAAATAATAGTAGAATAATCTATTATTTTCTAAATAATAGTAGAATAATCTATTATTTTCTAAATAATAGTAGAATAATCTATTATTTTCTAAATAATAACAGAATAATTATTTTCTAAATAATAATAGAATAATCTATTATTTTCTAAATAGTAATAGAATAATCTATTATTTTCTAAATAGTAATAGAATAATCTATTATTTTCTAAATAATAATAGAATAATCTATTATTTAGTGATGAGTAAAAGGACAAAGATTCCCTGTTCAATGCCTTTCCATTTTTCTCAGTTGCGAATTTTTGTTGTTGCTTTTGTCATTTGTTTTCCCGCCATATCTACTTAGCCATTGATTGTACGTATTTTAGAGTTGATTATTTTAATTAAAGCTGCATGGCTCTGCATTTCAGAAAGATAAAGTATTTGCTAGGATTTAAATTAGGGATCTGCAAATCCATCATAAATCTGACTCAGTTTCATTTGTATGTTTCCAGCCCGCTCAAGGGCAGTATGTGAAGTAAGTCGATATCATGCGTGTAATTGACTGATTGCTATTAATTTGAAATATGTGAATTTGAGGGCTGCCTTTATATAAATTCATTAATGTGCCATCCTTCACTGGCAATGATCAAGCTGCTGGCACATCACTAATAGGATATTTGCTTTGCGTTGTTTTTAGTGGTCATGATGAATTTGGGTTGATCCATTCCACATACAGCTGTCTATTTTTTTTTTTTGTGACTAATGGGCCATATCTGGTGTGGCAGGCTTATAGATATTATCCTCATTCTTAATGGAAGATGAAAAAATGGCAACAAAATATATAATGTTGGCTTCATTTACTAGAGCCAAACAAGCATGAATATATTATAAAACTACTCTCTAGTCAAAAAGCTAGAAATTATCAGGATAACTTTTTCACCTAAACAAACATTAAATTCATATAAACTATAATGGATTTTTATGTATACCATTAGTATTGCACAAAGTAACATGTAATTAACGATTTCAAATGAAAATTTCAATAAAAAAGGGATGATTTAGAACAAATATCAGTTTGGCAAAATGTAATGTTATTTGTACTAGTTACGAAGCTATTGTCTTCTCAGCTTCAACCTCCCTGCCTGTTACCCTTCTACACTCTTCTTTGTAAGCTGAGTCTTAAATTGTCTTTTATCTGTAGAGACATATGAAGAAGAAAGTATGGTTGAAAAGAAAAGAGACTTTCTTTTGTCCTTTCGGTTGTTGTTCTTCCTAGTAAAGAAAATCCCTTCAGCCCTGCAGTTGTTTATCTCAGTCCCCTGCATCACTGGGTACTTCTAGAACCAGCTTCAGTTAATTCTTTCACAGTCACCAGTATGAGCCAGATGGAATCTGTTTACCAGAGTATTAGACATCATTCCATGAGGACCTCCTCCAAGATTCTAAATCTTCATTATTTCTCCAATTGGATGGGTAGTGTCTCTTTCCCTGAGTTATTACTATTTTATTATGTCATTTTTTTTCCATTTTAATCTTTCAAACATCTGTTTAACCAGTTTCCTAGGATGTCAAATTATCTTCATTGAAATAGATAATAAATTTATATTTCCTGATGATTTTGATAGACTACCATAAGCGAGAGTTAACTTTTCTAGAGATTAGATAATTTTAATTGAAATATTGAGTAAAATTTTTAATCCATAATCTACTTTTGAAATATTAATCAACTTAGTTAATTATGCTGCCTGTTTAAACCCATTCCATTCTTCTTTGTTACTGACAAAAAAAAACAAACTTGAGAGATACTTTAAATGTGAGAGCATAAGTGACTATGGTGGTCACCTGGTTTTGGTTTGAACTGTTTTATTTTGGATCTGATCTGTGACCTTTGGAGAACTTATTGCCCTCTCTCTTCCTTTGCCCAAACACACACATACCATATGTGCCGTGTGGTTCCAGTTTGCCAATCACAGAACCATATGTCCCCTAATTTCCAAAGTTGACTGGTCAGATTTCCTTTCCCAAGAATGTTAATCATGAATGCACACCCCAAAGATGAAGGCTAACTTGGGTTGAAACATTCAATAGCAATTTCTAAGAGAGATGATGCCTGCCTTTCTACTCTTAATATCCATGGTTAGTGTCCACAGGGCTAATTCTTTAGCTATTCCTTCTCTCCTGAAGCTACCAAATATTCTTTGTTTATTTGGTTAAGTAAATACTGGTAGATTGCTTTATACATACAGTAGTTCTGCTTATATATTGCTTTTTAGGTGGCTGCTTTATACATACAGTATTGCTTTATACATACAGATTGCTTTATACATACAGTAGTTCTGCTTATATATTGCTTTTTAGATGGCTGCTTTCCCATTTCTCAGCTATGCTCTTTAATTAACTATGAAAAAGATGTCATTTTCTCCATTTTTTTAAACATGGGATGAAAGAATCATGTCTGCTTCATAGTTTCATCCATTGACATAATATATTTATAAAATATAGTTTTAATATAAACTTTGGGAACATACTTGGTATACACAGTCTACAATTAATTAAGGATAGTGTTTGATATGGTTTGGCTGTGTCCCACCCAAATCTCATCTTGAATTGTACATAATTCGCACATGTCATGGGAGGCACCCAGTGGCAGGTAATTGAATCATGGGGTGGGTCTTTCCCATGTTGTTCTCATGATAGTGAATAAGTCTCACAGGATCTGATAATTGTACAAAGGGGGGTTTCCCTACACAAGCTCTCTTGCCTGCCACCGTGTAAGATGTGACTTTGCTCCTCATTTGTCTTCAGCCATGATGTGAGGCCTACTGAGCTATGTGGAACTGTGAGACAATTAATTGAAATCTCTTTCCTTTATAAACTTTGCATTAGTCAGGGTTCCTTAGAGGGACAGGACTAATAAAATAGATGTATATATGACGGGGAGTTTATTAGGATAATTAACTCACGCGATCACAAGGTGAAGTCCCCAATAGACTGTCTGCAAACTGAGGAGCCAGGAAGCCAGTCTGAGTCCCAAAACCTCAAAAGTAGGGAAACAATAGTGCAGCCTTCAGTCGACGGCCAATGGAATGCTGTTTCCCATGCCCCAGTTTATGGCTAGATGGGTCAGATAGCACCCAGTTTATGACAGGTAGCTCAGGTCCCATGGTGACTTGATGACCCATAGTCAAACTTTCAGTTTCCACCAAAGCCCAGTAACATGACAGGAGCTGTTTCTCGAAAGGAGAGTAGTTATCTGCAGAAGGTGGGAGGGCCTTGTTCCAAAATTCTACAGGCCTTCTGTGTGACTCACTTGTGGGGGCCTGCCAAAGGCTCCAAACAGCATCCCTATCTGTGACTGACACCTCAAGCACCATTGGATCTACTGGGTTGTATGGCCTAAGTGGCAGAGCAGCTTTCACATCAGCCTGGAGCTGGCTCTGAGCCTTCTCCTTTTGTGGACCCCACTCAAATTTGCAGCCATTTGGGTCACTTGATAAATGGGCTGGAGTAACATACCCAAATGAGAAATGTGTTGCCTCCCAAACCCAAATAGGCTCACCAGGCCTTGTGTCTCTTTCTCGGTTGTAGGAGCGGCCAAATGCAGCAACTTATCCTTTACCTTAGAAGTAATATCTCAACAGGCCCCACACCACTGGACCCCTAGGAATTTTACTGAGGTAGAAGTTTCCCGAAGTTTAGTTGGATTTATTTCCCATCCTCTGGCACACAAGTGTCTCACCAATAAGTCCAGTGTGTTTCTACTTCTCGCTCACTGGAGCCAATCAGCATAATGTCATCAACGTAATCCACCAGTATGATATCTTGTGGAAGGGATATGTGGGGTGCGAGCCCCAACACAGAGTCCCCACTGGGGCACTGCCTAGTAGAGCTGTGAGATGAGGGCCACTGTCCTTTAGGCCCCAGAATGGTAGATCCTCCAACAGCTTGCACCATGCCCCTGGAAAAACTGAGGACATTCAATGCCAGCCCGTGAAACCAGCCAGCAGGGGCTGTATCCTTCAAAGCCACGGTGGAGGACTGCCCAAGACTGTGGGAGCCTGCCTCTTGCAACAGCATGACCTGGATGTGAGACAGAGAGTCATATGAGATCATTTTGGAGGTTTAAGATTTAACTGCCCCACTGGATTTCAGACTTGCATGAGGTCTGTAGCTTCTTCGTTTTGCCCAATTTCTCCCGTTTGGAATGGGTGTATTTACTCAATGCCTGTACCCCCATTGTATCTAGGAAGTAACTAACTTGCTTTTGATTTTATAGGCTCATAGGTGGAAGGGACTTGCCTTGTCTCAGATGAGACTTTGGACTGTGGGCTCTTGAGTTAATGCTAAAATGAGTTAAGAATCTGGGGGACTGTTGAGAAGGCATGTTTGGCTTTGAAATGAGAGGACGTGATATTTGGGAGGGACCAGAGTTGGAATGATATGATTTGGCTCTGTCCTCACCCAAATCTCATCTTGAATTGTAGCTCCCATAATTCCCATGTGTCATGAGAGAGACCTGGTAGGAGGTAATTGAACCATGGGGGTGGGTCTTTTCCATGCTGTTCTCATGGTAGTGAATAAGTCTCAAGAGATCTGATGGTTTTATAAAGGAAAATTCCCCTACACAAGCTCTCTTGCCTGCTGCCATGTAAGACGTGACTTTGCTTCACATTTGCCTTCAGCCGTGATTGTGAAGCCTCCCCAACCATGTGGAACTGTGAGTCAATTAAACCTCTTTCCTTTATAAATCACCCAGTCTCAGGTATATCTTTATTAGCAGCATGAGAACAGATTAATACCATTTTGATTATATTTGGGAAGACGGCTTAGATAATATTTTTGAAGTTTAATTAATAATAGCAAAAGTCATTATATGAAATTAAAATTTAAATTGTGACCTGTTTCTCTTTTTTATTTGGACACACAGAGTTTACTGGTGCCTCATTAATTTCATTTATTTGTTTACACATGGTTTTAACAAATATTTATTAAATGTGTCCTATATGCTACACACTGTGGTAAACAGAAGAGATGAAGAGTTAAGGAAAAGTCTGTCTTCAGAGAGCTTCCATTATAGTGGGAGAAATGGGCAACTAGAGAAGTGCTGTGAAGCATGACAAAATCTATTGTAATGATAGGCACAGGATACTATGGTGACAGAGGTAAATGGCATGTGGTCAGATTAGAAAGTAGGAAAAGTTTATAATAAGATATAAGAGAATAAGGAAAAAGGAGAAAAGAAAGTTAAGACACTAAAAAAGAAATAAAATACTTAAAATTTTGCTTGTTTAGAACCAAGGATTCCTTTGGTGAATATAGGAGAACAGGTAATAGGCAGGATCCCACTTATCCTTGTGTGCCAAGCTAAACTCTATTTCTTTCTTGATATCCTATTGAAGAATAACACAATGATCAAGTTATAATTACATTAATTAAACCTACTTTTAAACATACTTTTTTCTCATTATAGAGCTATGTATATGACTTATAATAATTCTTCATTTTCTTTCAAAAACATTTAATTATGAACAATTAACAGTAATTTACATATTATAAATATAGTACTAAATAATTTTTGCCCTCGTATTTCACTACAGCTGTAACTTTTTAACACAAATATGTTTGGTAAACAATAGTTATTCCAGATGTGTGGAAATCAGCTGATAACTATTGTAGTGTCCGCATTACCAAAAATATGTAATTAAAAATTAATATAATTAATTTATATTTCAAATATTATAAGATATGTTGAATAGTCACAACTCAATTATGTACAATATTGGGTATTAATTTCATTTGCTTTTATTTTTAATGCCTGCTATCAACATTGTTTATTGAATCTCAAAAGCACTGAGCAGTGATGAAACAATCTTACCCATAATAACATGCCAATTGAAGCCAAATATCATTCAAATATTTCTAGATTAAAACTCAGTCTTAAAGGCCGAAGTTTTCACTGCCTGTTCTTGTCAGTTCCGATTTGTTGCCATGGAGATCACTGCCTTTCTTTTGTTGTGGGGTATGTCTCTGGGTGTATGTCTATCTCTTTTGTATAACTCCTTTGCCAGATATTGGATTCACCCAATATTAGTTTTAGCATTTCAGAGGGAAGTGTTCTTCTTTGTTTTTATCCAAAGGAGCAAGTTTCCTTTTTTTTCAAACTGCTGTAGAAATGCTTTACCTGGTCTCTTATTGGCCTAAATAATTCCAAGCATATCAAAATGTTAACCAATCAGTGATAAAGACAATGGAACTACTACCATGATTGATTTAGTATACTTATCTAAGGTTGAATCATTAGTGGTATCAATCACAATATTACCATACACAAATACAGGCATACCTTGGAGATATTGAATGTTCAGTTTCAGACCACCACAATCAAGGGGATTGTATTAGTCCATTCTCAAGCTGCTATGAATTAATACCCAAGACTTGGTAATTTATAAAGAAAAGAGGTTTAATTGACTCACAGTCCACATGCCTGGGGAAGCCTCAGGAAACTTACAATCATGGCAGAAGGCCCCTCTTCACAGGGCAGCAAGAGAGAGATTGAGTGTTGAGTGAAGGGGGAAGCTCCGTATAAAATCATAAGATCTCCTGAGAACTCACTCACTATCAGGAGAACAGCATGAGGAAAACAACCCCCATGATTCAATTGTCTCCACCTGGTTCCACCCTTGCCATGTGGGGATTATTGCAATTCAAGGTGAGATTTAGGTGGGGACACAGAGCCCAGCCCTATCAGGAATATTGTAATAAAGCCAGTCACACACATGTTTGTTTGTGGTTTTTTTTTTCTTTTGGTTTCTGAGTGCATATAAATGTTATGTTTACCCTATACTGAGAGTTTATTAAGTGTGAAATAGCATTATGTCCAAAAAAAAGGGAGCATAACTTAATTAAAAATACCTTATTGTTAAAAAATGCTAATAATCATTTGAGCTTTCAGAGAGTCATAATCTTTTCTGATGGAGGTTTTTGTCTCGATGATGATGACTGCTGGTCAGAATGGTGGTTGCTAAAAGTAGGGTGGCTGTGGCAAGGTCTAAAATAAAAGAACAGTAAGGTTTGCTATACCTATTGATTGTTCCTTTTGCAAAGATTTCTCTATAGCATTAGGTGCTGTTGGATAGCATGTTAGCCATAGTAGAACTTTTCTCAGAATTGCAGTAAATTCTGTAAAACCCTGCCACTGCTTTATCAACTAAGTTTATGTAATGTTCTAAATCCTTCATCGTCATTTCAAAAGTGTTCACGATAGCTTCATAGGAGTAGATTTCATTTGAAGAAACCACTTTCTCTTCTAACCATGAAAGCAACTCCTCATTGATTAAAGTATTTTCTGAGATTGCCACAATTCAATCACATATGCAGGATCCACTTCCAATCCTAGTTATCTTGCTATTTCCACTGCATCTCCAGTCACATCCACCACTGAAATCTTGAAACCCTCAAAGTCATTCATCAGGATTGGAATTAATTTCTTCCAAACTCCTGTTAATGTTAATATTTTGATATTTTCTGAAGAATCATGAGTATTCTTAATGGCATCTAGAATGGTGAGTCATTTCCAAAGGTTTCCAATTTACTTAAATCTATCAGAGGAATAAGTATCTATGGAAGCTATAGCCTTATGAAATGTATCTCTTAAATAAAAAAAAAACTTGAACGTCAAAATTGCTTTTTGATTCACAGACTACAGAATGGATATTGTGTTAGCAAACACCAAAGCAACATTAATCTCCTCGTACATCTACATCAGAGTTCTTGAATGACAAAATGTATTGTCAATGATTAGCAACATTGTGAAAGAAATGTATATTTTCTGGGAAGTAAGTCTCAATTGTGGGCTTAAAACACAGTAAACTATACTGTAAATGGATGTGTTGCTGTCCAGGCTTTGACGCTCCATTAATATAGCACAAGAAGAGTAGATTTAGCATAATTTTTAAGGGCCCTAGGATTTTCAGAATAGTAAAAGAGTATTGGGTTCAATTTAAAGTCATCAGCTGTATTAGCCCCAACAAGAGTTAGCCTGTCTTTTGAAGCTTTGCAGTCAGACATTGACTTCTCTCTAGGCTTGAAAGTCCTAGATGGCATCTCCTTCCAATGGAAGACTGTCTTGTGCACATTACAAATCTGTTGTTAGCACAGCCACGTATGTCAATTTTCTTAGCTAGGTCTTCATGGTAACCAGCTGAAGTTTCTACAACAGACTTACTGCTTCACCTTGCACTTTTATGTTATGGACAGAGCTTCTTTCCTTCAACCTCATGAACAGATCTCTGCAATAACAGCTTCAAACTTTCCTTCAGTAGCTTATTCACCTCTCGTAGCCTTCGTAGAACTAAAGAGAGTTAGGGCCTTCCTCTGGATTAGGTTTTGGCTTGTGGAAATATTTGATTTTCTATCCAGACCACTAAAACATTCTCTGTATCAGCAATAAAACTGTTGCACTTTCTTATTATTCTCATGTTCACTGGAGTAGCACTTTTAATTTCCTTCAAGGACTCTTTCATTGCATCTATAACTTGGCTAACTGTTTGTCACAAGAAAATGAGCTTTAGGCCTATCTAGATTTTCAACATACCTTTCTCACTAAGCTTAATCATTTCTAACTTTTGATTTAAATTGAGAAATATGCAACTCTGCCTTTTACTTGAACACAAAAAGGCCATTGGAACTTTATTAATTGGCCCAATTTAAATATAGTTGTGTCTCACGGAATAAGGAGGCTTAGAGAAGACAGGGAGGGAGAGGGTTAGGGAGGATAAGGGGAGGAGGGAGATAGAAAGAGAGAATAGAGAGAATGGTACAGGGAGTGGCCAGTAGGTGGAGCAGTGAGAACACATAGAATGTTTATCAATTAAGTTCACCATCTTATATTGGCCCAGTTCATGGCGCTATAAAATAATTAGAATAGTAACACCAGATATCATTGTTCACAGATAACCATCACAAATATAACTATAATGAAAAAGTTTTTACTATTTTGAGAATTCTTATAATGTGACACAGGGACAGGAAGTGAGCACATGCTGGTGGAAAATAGCACTGATAGACTTGCTCCATGGGGGTTGCCACAAACCTTCAATTTATGAAAAATGAAATATCTGTGAAGCACAATAAAGCAAAGACTAATGAAATGAGGTATTCCTGTAACATTGTATTTAAATGAAACTCATGTATTCAGAATTAGAGTAATCATAATTCTTGGTTTATTGCACATTTTCATCATTAGTCTCTGAATTGACTAGTTATAATGTACATATGGATAGATAGATACATCAGAGGGAGAAAGAGAGAGAGACTATTTTGTCTGAAAACACAATGTATAAATGCTCTATAAATTTATTCAACTGAAAAGTTTTGGGCTCCATCTTTGAGATCTAAGACAAGATGCTTATATACTAAAAATAGAAGCTAACCAAAGTGTTCTTGAGAAAACAGAGTGAAGTATTTCACTGTAAAACATAAACCATCGTTTCACTATCCAGTTTAAATCATGGCTCATTATTTGTGGTATTTTTCTTTCACTATTCCAAGACATATATAGCAAAAACTTGATTTCCTTTTGCTGTGCTAGCTTTTAGAGCACATTGACAGAAATGGTGAAAAAATGTAATCAATGCTTTGGGACACATGTGAAAATCCAATGCCCATCTCAGTTCTTGGCTAAAATAGTTCTGCCAAGTCTATTTTCTATTGTTGTGTGCTATTTCTCTCTACATTTATCTTTTGCACTTGTCTTACACCCTTCCTGTCTCTCTCCTCCTTCAATCCTCAGCAACTCTCTAAATACTCAAAGCACCATTTATACAGAGTACTCGACTCACAGTGAAACGTGAAAGTGCCCTATTCTTGCATCATTTCTATACTTCATTCCTGTCAGCCTTGCAGAGGGCTGGGCATGTGTGTGAGTGTGTATGTGTGTGTGTTGGTTGCAGAGAGGGCTACATTTCAAATATTGATTAAAGCACAGTTGAAAGGGCACCTTCAAACACATAGATGTGATTGACTAAAATAATTCAAACTTGCAGAAATCTATTTGTTAATATGCCTAAAATATCTTCATTCTTTTATCAACTGTATTAATATTTTAGGAACACCTGTCACAGCCAAGAAATGTCCTAAAGGTGATAGTGCAGCTCTGGATACAAGTGACAAGGTCCATGCCTTCAGCATGGGTATTATGTGGAGGGTGGAAAAAGAAAAAGAACAACAAACGTCTAATAGCCTGGGTGTATATGAGGGATATATAGCAAAATAAAATAAAATAAAGTGGCTGTATTCCCACACTCTGGGAGCCCGAGATGGGAGGATCACCTGAGGTCAGGAGTTCAAGACCAGCCTGGCCAACATGGCGAAAGCCCATCTCTACTAAGAATGCAAAAATTAGCCGGGCGTGGTGTCTCATGCCTGTAATCCCAGCTGCTTGGGTGGCTGAGGGAGGAGAATCGCTTGAACCTGGGAGGTGGAGGCTGCATTGAGCCAAGATCACCCCACTGCACTGCAGCCTGGGTGACACAGCAAGACTCCGTCTCAATAAATAAATAAATAAATAAGATAAAAAGAAAGGGAGTGTTAGGATAGAGGGTGTCATATTAAAAATGGTGATCATGGATCACCACCGTGTTGTCTCAGGTAAGTAAGAGAAATCATAAAAGCAGAGACTTGAAAGAAGGGAGGGAATAGGCCATGTTGCTATCTGGTGGACTGGGAGACAAACAATCCAGATAGAGGGAAGAGTGCTTGGAAAGTGCCTAGGGAAGGAGCATGCTAGGCACGTTAGCAGTAAATCAAGGAGGCCAATGAACATGGCACTGAGTAGGCTGAAAGAGAGAAAGAGCAGAGACAGAATGCCTCATATCATGTAGAACTTTATAAGACATGGCAAGGATTTTGGCTTTCATTCCCTCAGATGAATAGAAATAAGTATATTTTGAATAGGGATATATGACATAACTCGGATTTTAACATGCTTTTGCTTATAAAATCAAATGGCCTTTTTTTTTCCTTTTTTGGACATTTTAAGTTTTAAATACTTATTACATTGTCAGTTGGAGGCATCATTTATTTGGACCCATCACTTCAGATTTGAGGAGAGAGGCCAGAATTGGAGCTTCTCAGTTGGGTGTTTCGTGTATAAATTCTTTTTAAACTCATAAAAGAGAACGAAATTACCTAGGGTGTTAATATAGATAGATCCTGAAAACAGTTCATGCTTTTTGAGCCAGAAATTTTACTTCTAATGAGTTATCCTAAGGTTATAATCATACATGCAAAAAATGACTTCTGTGTAAAGGTATTACCATGCTATCTTTATTTTACTATATTCAAAGCCTCTTTTCCAAATGTTACTTAATCACATATATGTGTATGTATGTGTACTTGTATGTAATTAAGTACTAAAATATATTCTATTTTGTATTACTGTATGTGTGTGTGTATATACAGAGTGTATACACAGAGAGAGAGAAATGTATTAGAATTGCAAGACTATTCTTACATTTCTAAGGAAAAATTGGCAAAGTAATGCACAGAATCATTGGCTTTTAAAATCATATATTTAAAATAGCTTGTTTCATTTTTAGGTTGGATAATTGCATACTGCTCTCAATTTGAAATTAATATTTAGGACATTAATCTTAAATACATGCTTAAAGTTGTTCCCAGAAAAACTTTAGCTACTAGTGTCATACATATATATGCATATATATATACACATATATACACACATATATATGTATATACGTATACACACATATACACACACATATATGTATATACATATACATGTATATACACACATATATGTATATACATATACATGTATATACACACGTATATGTATATACATATACATGTATATACACACACGTATATGTATATACATATACATGTATATACACACACGTATATGTATATACATATACATGTATATACACACATACACACATATATATGTATATACATGTATATACGCACATACACACATATATGTATATACATGTATATACGCACACACACATATATGTATATACATGTATATACGCACATACACACATATATGTATATACGTGTGTATACGCACATACACACGTATATGTATACACACACATATATGTATATACATATATACACATATATGTATATACACACATATATGTATATACACATATACACACATATATGTATATACACACATATATATGTATATACACATATATGTATATACACACATATATATGTATATACACATATATGTATATACACACATATATGTATATACACATATATGTATATATACACACATATTTATATACATATGGTTTTTGCTGAAACATTAATATGTGACTCTATGGAAGACCTCAGATATTTCCATGGTATAAACACTGAATTTTAGACAATGGTAAGTTATTTTGAAATGTTTTGATGTCTATTTGGCAATCATCAGGGAAGAGTAGGGTCTTATGAGAAGTCTATTGATAAAGTGTAATCTGAATCTAAATGCAAAATACATGATTTATCTGATCTGTTCCTTGTGAAACGTAAAGAAATGTAGGCATAAGTATCATCATAGAGGGGAACAGTCAGCTTGGAAAATAGTACTGGATATTTGGTAACAATGTTATACATACTAATCTATGTTTGATTTTCTCTATTCCTAGTTCATGGGCTATATTATGATCTCAGATATAAGTTAAACATATTTTTTTCTATAATGAAACTAAGAGAAATAGTGACTTGGGGTGATTTCTACAAACAAATTATCTACCATACATGTAACCTTAATCCGCCAATAATTTATAGCTTGTGTAAGCAAGCATATTTTTGCAATACTGTGCTTCTCTTTGAAAGCTCAGGGTGCTTCTGCCTCCTAAGTGTAATTTAATTTATCTTATGAAGTGTATAATAAATTATTTTTATTGATACATTATTGAGGCCCACACGGCTTAAATGACCATTTTATTATACAGGCTTATACATTTTATTTTACCTTTTCTTTTCCTCTTACATAAAATTGGAAGTAATGAAGACATCAATTTTTATCTTTAATATAATCTATTAACACTACAGAATCTAGAGTATTAGTGGCTCAAGATCAGGAGCTATTTGGAGACTTAAATTCCATATTTTATGGCTTAGCAAAGTGAGACATTTAAAAAGTTTACAGTTCATTTCTCATTATCTAAAAATAAATGTGGGGGAAAAATCTTACTCTACCCATGTACGAATGCTTTCTATAATCTGACAGTTTGGAAAAACTGCTTTATAAAATGAGTTTTTACAATATGCTACTTTCTTTGATAACTTTATGTCATTTTCCAAATGTGTTTAGACTTGCACTCATATTCTAAAGAAACTGTCACACTAAGATATCCCTTATATAAATCTAAATAACAAAAAAGATTCATATGGGCAATTTTATAAAACTTTCTTGTTAAACTTGCAGTATTTCTTCACATAATTTCTCAAATCATCTCAGAACTATTGTCGATTAAGTTATTCTGCAATTAAAAAGAAAATATTTTTGAAGTATTTATACTAATGAAACAATTGATAATCTATAATAATTATCTACATAGTGGAGATCTGCAAGCATGCTTAATCCTTCACTCCACAGTGAATCTTTAAAAAAAAAAAACGAAATTCTTCTGCCAATAGTCAGAAAGAAGTTACAAAATTGACTAATTTAATTTGTAACTACTTGTCATTTGAAGTGCTAAGATGTATCAATGTGTTCTAAAGACCAACAGATTAAAATAACTGGAGTAGCAAAATTCCAGATTACATCAACTTCTGCCTTTGTAACAATCAGGCAGTAAGGGCAGAAAAAAAAAGAGCAAGGTAAATGGACAACAGAATGAATCATTTTCACAGACCTTTGTCTCCTCCAACTCAATTCCCTTAATACTCGCATTTGAACTTAAAATTAGCAAGTAGAGTATAGAAGAAACTCCCCAGAGAAACGTTGGTATAAAAACATCAAATTGTATACTTTAATTACACTATAATTTTTCTTTGAGGGGGATTACTGTCATCTTTGCCAAAGATAAAAGCACGTTTATGCCAAAGTTAACATGACAATCCTGAAATTTGAACTTATCTATTTAGCAGAAAGCTTGCAGGAAGTGATAGACTCAAACATCTTGCTGCTTAACGTTGATATGTCTATAATATTTGGGCAAAATTCTCATTATTTCTTTTATGAATTTGAAAAAGCACTTATTTATTTTTATGTTTTGGAAGTTGAAATGTGTTCCTGAAAGTGAGAAATCCCTTTTACTTCACCATATGTCATCTTGTCTTTTTGACACTCTAAGCCTGGAAATATCTCAAGTGTGCAGACTTCTGATTTCCAAATTATCTGCTGCCAAGAAGGGAAGTGGATATCTGAAACTCAGCCACAGACCTTGGCAAATTTCAAATTCAGAATAAAACTTTCACTTTAAAATTGTGTTCAAAAGTTGAACGGGATTTTTTTATGTCTAATTTGTGTTCTATTCCTATTACCGAATAGTTGGGGGAAATTATTGTAGCCTAGTTTAAAAGGCTTTTTTTTTTTTTTATCACTAGAGATAAGTTTTGAAGGATTACGATGGGAATTAAAGTTTCTATTCTTTTGCATTTAAATTTAACAATGTAAAGAGTGACAAATTCCTACCAGCAGCAATATTGCTGAAGTAAGCATATCTTTTGGGACTTTTCAACAGTGGATGCTACTAGATTTTTGGAGGTATCTGAACATATGTCTATTCCACAAATTTTGGCTTGTCTAGCAGTATGAATAAATTTTCTGTGATACAGTATGGTGCACCTCTAAACTGAAAAGGAAATGGTGATTTTGCCATGTCGCTTTTTACATTTTTGTTGTTACTGAAAACGTGCTCTAACTAGAACCCAAAGAAATTGTTATTTCAAATATTCCTCCATTAATAAGAATAATTTTTGATCAATTTTCAATAATTTTTTACCAAAGATTCAGGGAGTTTGTATTTGAATGGAAGCAATAAGATATATTCCAGATTTTAAAAAATCAGGTTTAGATAGTTTCATTCATTCAGGAGATCATTTAAGTATCATTTATTACTTATTTCTAACTTTAAAAAGCAGGTTTAGATAGTTTCATTCAGGAGACAATTTCAGTATCATTTATTATTATTTATTTTTAATGTTTGTGAGTACCCAGTAGGTATATATATTTATGGGCTACATGAGATATTTTGATACGGGCATACAATGTGTAATAATCACTATTATGTAATTTTAACTTAAAGTTAAAACAACAAAAATGAACCTTCCAGTTCTAGAAATGACAGGTGATACTAAGTGAAATTCCTCTTGCTACAAAAACATAAAACATATCAAATTTGCTAGGAAAAAATCTTCATGTTAAAAAAACACTGACAATTAAGTAATAGCTGCTTGGGGTTTTAAAGGATGCTTGTCTCAGCAATTGGGAGATTGACTAGATGTAATTCCTACAGAGAGACAAGGGGTAAAACTCTTGGACAAAGTGATGTGGGAGCTGGAGTTGAGATCTTATACATAAAGCTACACTCTGAAACGATTATAATCTCACTAGAAAAGTGGACAAAGCAAAGTTTGTCTTAAACACCAAGCAATAAGTATTCATGTATGTTTCTGCCTAATCATCGGGAGGCAAATGGAGGGAAAAGGAGAAATTTCCTTGAGAATTAACTTTATTTCACAAAAATGAGAGTCTATAATTTATAATACCTAAATTTAGGAAAATGTCTTAAGAAAATAATTACCAAAATAAAATAAAATAAAACCTTAGGACCAGGAATATCATTGGAACTTTTGGCAAAAACAAACTTGCAACCATTCTGGGAGCATATTCAAACAAAATATTATGGGTGAAATTTACTTAATTATATTAACAATAATAAATGTAATAAATGCAAATGGAAAAATACTTGCAAATAAAAGACAATATTTGCAGATAGTTAGGGAAGCTAAATCAACAAGCACCCTAAGTCATAAAGAAGGTCCAGGTACAGTTAAGTAATAATAGTACATAAATGTATACAGAGAAAGAGCTGATGTATCTATTAAAAATCATACAAAATAAATTGCAAGAATGTATTATTACGAATAAAAATGGTTTCTATATAATAGAAAAATAATAAATCAAATAATTTACATATTCAGGATGCTTATATACCAAAGAGCATACTCTCAGTATATAAAAATAAAATTTAGTCCTAATCTAAAAACTATCAAGTTGTGCTTTTTAAAGATAAAATACTCAATAAAGATCAAGAGAAATTAAAAAAAATAAGTTAAAAAATAAGAAAGTTTGTACTACCAGATACCAAAGCATACTAAAATTCTATAATAATTAAAACAATTCTGTACTTACCCACAGTCAGAAAGGAACAAAATAAGATCAAGAAACATGTAGTATATACAAGCATCTAATTCATTCTTAGCAATGGCACTTCTAATCAGTGAGGAAAAAGCAAAAGCAAGCCAAAGAGTGGCACTGAGGTAATTTGGAAACAGATTGTTAAAACTGATCCCTTAATTACACCATTTATTCAAAATAGCCTGAATATATTTTTTATGTATCTAAATGGAAGATAATCTGAATAACTACTGAAAAAAGTTAGGATTCCTTTACCATTATCTGAAAAGGGGAAGGTTTTCTTAGCATAGAAAAAAATCTCAAAACCATAAATGTTTACAATTAAAATAGAAAACTGTTAATGACACCAAAAATAATATTAAGGTAATTGAGAGAAAGAGTGAAACAGAAACACTATATAATACAAATTTAATCACTAAAATGTATAAAGTGTTCCTAAAATCCAGCTAAAGGGAAACAATGAATAAAATGATATCTCCTTGTTATATTCACTTATTAATAAATATATAATCATAAGACAATATATAATGATATAAATGAATATAATTACAAGGAGATATCATTTTATTCCAAGATGTTGACAAACAATTTGGAATATGTTTTGTTTTCTTATAAGTAGGTTATGGAGAAAGAGACACTTTCAAATGGTCTCCATGTAAGTGTAATTTGGAGTAACATTTTGGAGGATAATTTCACGATAATTATCAAAATTAAATTACTCACCTAAGCTGACCCACCCACATATCGAGCTAAAAACTGGACACAGAAGGAGCATCATAAGTAATGTGGAAATGATGTAAATATCCATCATATTACTTGTCAATGCCCTCAAAATTTTACATATGCAAAAGTTATTTTTTTAGAGAAGCACATGTGTCTTATTTAAGAATTTTTATTTGTATGTGATAAAAATTAATTTCGGCTAGTTTAGCCAAGTAAAAGGGAATATTTCTGAGAAAAGAGGCCAGGAATCCATTGGCAGAAATGTAACCTAGGCACTTGAGGTACTTAAACAAAAACCTGAAAGATTAAAGCACAAAGTTACCATTTTATTTATATTCTCCTGATTTTCTGTGCTTGCAGAACTGGAAAACAGCTTTCTCTGTTTCTTAGTCTACATGAAAGAATAAAGCTTCCTATAGCTTCTGAATTCACTTATTATGTTTAACACCTACATAGACTAAAGTGCTATCCCAATTATAAATTTACAGAAGACAAAATTAGATTGCCCCAGTTTAAGCCAGCCATCCACTTAAAATACAAGACACTCAGTGCATTTAAGTTTCACCCCTGTAAATGGAAGGAGTCATTCCAAGGAAGAAGGAATCATTATGATTTTGGCATCAACCTCAATAAATAAATGTTTAAAAGAGTGCATGTGTGTATGTGTATGTGTATGTGTGTGTGTTTAAAACTGGAAAGATTTTTTATTCCTGATATATTCTGTTTCCTTTGTAAAGTAAGCATCTAATTCATCCAAAGCAAGCCAGTGCTTATGTTAAAGTAGGAGGCTCAAGGAGAAAATGAAAATATTGAAGTAGCCTTTGAATAATTGGAAAAAAGATTTATTAGGTAAATGGTTTGTTCAGTGGCACTTATACTCCAATTGCAGGAGGTTGAAGTCATTCATTCATTTATCTCTAAGTAACTGGAATGCCATATTTTACTATTTTCAATAGAAAGCCTACTGTAGAATTAATGAATGTCTGTGAAAATATTATAGTTGATCTAATGTTGAAGTTTGGTTAAAGATTTGGCAAAGGCAATTGAGTGTGGAGAAAAGGGAGTCTATGAAATGCATATTAAAAACTAGGTTTAGCGGGAAAACATAAAATAAGGCTCAGATTATTTAATAATTAAAGAAGGACAAGTCAAGGGACTGGGAAGTTTTAATGAGGTCAAAGTGCGCGTGTTAAAAGTGTCAGGGATGAGAACCCTGGAAGAAAGAGGTGATGGACAAAGAGTTGGCAGTTGAATTTAAGATTTCAAAGTGGAACACTTCCCACTGATGTCAAGATTCTTAGTGGCTTTGGCAGGCATTGCTAAAATGCAGTAATTATAAAGTTCATAACAATCAAGAAAGTCAATGAAGTTTGATGCCAGCCCATTATATTTTTTGTAAATTTGAACATTAAACTTACTAAACATAGGACTTGCGTGTATGTATTTTAAATGCCAAAGGTAACACTGATAGTAAAACATCTGATTCTACAATCCTATTCTTTATACCTAAACTCTCTGTAATCTTTCACTTACATCCTTTGATCAGACTAATCAAGCTTAACCGGACAGCTAAATTAATAATTATTTTGATAATTAAAGAGTCTGAAAACTTTTTTAATATATTAAGCTTCAGATATTAATGAATCCTAGGTGAGAAGGAAAATATTTAGAATAGAATAAATCATTATTCAAGAATATCTATAATAAGTCTTATCAATTATTTAAAATATCTTAAAACCACTTAGACTCCATTTTTACCTATAAATTCTGGAATATTTAACACATATACCAATTTATATATATATAAATATATATATCATTTACTTTTACTGTCGTCAAATCAAAACATTAGTTTTAACTCATATATAATCGTATTTTACACAAGTTAAAAATAGCCATAAGTTAAAAACAGAAAAACATTTAGTTTCATAAAGTAAGCTCAGTTCTGTGCCTCTCTATTAGTGAAAAGATAATACACAGAGGAAGCTTTACCATAAGAGGTCCTTTGGGCTCCATTCTGAGATATTCTGTTGAACTGGAAAAAAGAAACTGGTTTTTCTGTGTTTCTAGTTATAACCTCACTTAGGTAGCCTCAAGAGATTTACCAAACTCTCTGGCAGCCAGTGTTTTGGTGGTTCTGGTGTATTTGGATATTTTTGGTAATATTAAACAGCATTTGGATAGCCTTTAAATACTTTTGAAATAATATTATGCTCCATAGCAGTGCATTTCTTCTTTTTCAGTATTTGTAAACTGTAGCTTGTGCTAATGTATTATTATTATCATTATTATTATTGAGACAGAATTTTGCTCTTGTTGCCCAGGCTGGAGTGCAATGGTGCCACCTCGGCTCACTAAAACCTCCGCCTCCTGGGTTCATGCCATCCTCCTGCCTCAGCCT
This sequence comes from Homo sapiens, assembly GCF_000001405.40. Taxonomy (NCBI): domain Eukaryota; kingdom Metazoa; phylum Chordata; class Mammalia; order Primates; family Hominidae; genus Homo; species Homo sapiens. The sequence continues at coordinate 95,214,041 of NC_000006.12, forward strand.
CCCTTGTAGCTGGGATTACAGGTGCCTGCCGCCATGACCAGCTAATTTTTTTGTATTTTCAGTAGAGATGGCATTTCACTATGTTGGCCAGGCAGGTCTTGAACTCCTGACCTCAGGCAATCCACCCTCCCCAGCCTCCCAAAGTACTGAGATTACAGGCGTAAGCCACTGTGCCTGGCTCATACTAACATATTTTTACATAACTTTTATTTCACAAGACAATCAAACCAGCCTTTCTTATTGTGCCTTTTCCCCTTCATTTAATATATACCATGTTTCTGCTGGTCATCTTGATGTAACATTCATTCTGATTTTTTCCTCACTCAATCATGTTACTATTTGCACGTTAAACTTATATGAGCATCCTAGTTATTCATATGTATTCATTCTCACTTTCTTACTCTTTCACAGACTGTCTTTCCCTTATGCCTTTTACCACAGGTACCTAAACTTTTCATGATTTTGCCCGTATTTTGGTTACTCCTACCACATCTCAAAGCACCCAAAACAACATCAACAATTGACTTAAATATTAATTTCTTATTATTTTTTAAATAACTAACTGGGTTGACTCAATTTTTTGCTTCACATGGTTTTGGCTAGGGGCACTAGGAACGCTGGAGAGTCCAAAATGGTCTTACTCACTTGGATGGAGTTTGGTGTTGACTGTGGGATAGAAGCTCAGCTAGGGCTACTGTCTATGTCCTCATTTATACTCAGATTAAATAGAAGGAAAAATATGCCTGACTTATGTAAAGGGAAACATCATGTTGAGAAACAGCATATGGAATGGGAGATTGTTGCAGTCACCTCTGGGAACACAGTTTACCAGGATCTACTTAATCAGTGTGGCTAGCAGAATTCTAAGATCATTCTCAAAATTCTGTCCCCTAGGCATACAAACCCTGAACAATCTCCTCTCCTTGTGTGTGGCTGGGAACTGTGTAGAAGATGGGGTAGTAACTCCCCTGATTAGGTCACATCGTAAGGCACAGTTAATATGATAGTCATTTTTGTGATTATGTTGTGTTTGTGATTCCATCAAAGTTGAATAGAGGGAGATTCTCTTGCTGACATTAAAGAAGTAATCTATGATGTTGTGAGAGGCCACATGGCTACGACCAAAGGGCAGGCTCTAGAAGCTGAAAGTAGCCCCAGTTTGAGACACAGCAAGGAAATGGGAACCTCAGTCCTACAACTGCAAGAAACTGAACTCTAATAACAAAATGGATGACCTTGGAAAATGATCCCTAGCCTCAGATGAGATTGTAGTCCTGACCAAAACCTTAATTTTAGCCAGGCGAGAACCTGAGCAGACAGCCCAATTACCCACACATAACCTGATCCATAAAAATGGTGAAATTTAAAAATTCATGTTTTTATGTTGTTAAGTTTGTAATAAATTGTTACATAGCCATAGAAAGCTAATACAATAATGGAAGAGAAATGATTAATTTCTTTAATTTTCAGATTCAAGTACACATCTTCAAATAACAAACTTTAGTATTTCATAAATTCTCATCCTGAACTTGAGGGTTCTCTTTTTCTAAGTCTTCACCATTTGCTTTCATCTCACCAGAATATAACTCCATAAATGCTAAGCACATTCTACTCCTCACTCATGTTATTTCTCTCCTTTTCGTATTTTGCTATTACATTAAATAATATCCTCAAAAATATTGTATTGGCTTGGTTTTGTTGCAGCTTGACCTCTTTTCTCATCAAGAGGGATAGATATTTTCTACCACATATGTTTATGAATATTGTGAAATCGAATGGTTATACTTTTTTCTTCATTGCCACTTGCAAACTGTTATACATCCAGGCTTTAGTAAAAGTACTATCTCTTAAGAGATTCTTACATTCTCAGCCAAGTAACTTTCTGCCCCTCTGCATTGCCAGCATCAATTATTTTGTGTCACTGCTCTTAACATTTTAAAATTTGGTTCACACTTCATTCTAACCCTACCAAAATTCCGTGTGATGTGTCTATCCAACACATTTGCTTCATAATTTCTTCATGTACTCAGCTCCAGATACCTTCACCTCTGCAAATGTTCATTTCCATGACCACCCCCTGGATTTGCATACTTCTCAATTCATTCAAAATTTCAAATATATTTACTTTTTACTTCAACCCCACTCTGTTTTCCACTAAACGAGATATAATCTTGTTGCACTGACATTGCTAAGGGATTGCCTAGGTCTAGGTCCAAGAGGGCTCACCATGTTTGCATTCCAGCCAGGGAGAAAAGTGAAATGGAAGTGAGGCCAGTCCCTTTCTTGAAAGAAATTCTATTTTTCTTTACCATTTTAGTTGTGCTCTTGAAAGAACACAGCACAGTCAGTGCAATTGTATTACCACATTGCATTAATTGACTATGGCCCCAGCAGCTCTAAAGGAGTAAATTTTGAGTGGCTATGTATCCAGCTAAAATGTTGGGATTGCCTTACCAAGGGAAGGAAGATGTTAGGTAACATTTTTAGTGTGCTCCAGATGGTAATCAAAGGAGTGTTCCTACGGTTTCAGGGACTCTAGGGGCATTATTATCTGTTTTCATGCAATACAATTCAGCAGGTAATAAAGAAACTGAATTGGTAGCATTTGATTTACATTACATTTTATATTTAAAATTGAGACTCATGATTTAACAAATATGTATAGAGCTAATGGAAGGAATGTTATAAGTTCATACTGCTTCAGTAATCCCAGGAGGTAAAGTCATGACAGTGAGTGAATAGAGGCTTAAACTGCTGCTGTTTTCAGCCTTGGCAGGTGTCTATAATTCTCCAGCTTGCCATAACCAGAGGAACAAGTAATTTAGAGTCAGATAAATCTAAATGCTAATGATCATCACAGCTCTACTACATATTTAGTTATTTAGCCTCTTTGAATTTATTTTCCTCATCTGTAAAATAGAGATAATTGTCATTTCAAAGTTGTTAAGAAGATTAGAGATAAACATGTAAAAAGCCCATTGGTGTCTGGCACAGAGAAGAAACTATAAATGATTAACATTATCATTAGTATTTTATGTGCTGCCCCTGTCTTTGCACATAAATTGTTATCATCTCTTTCACTGCTTTATATCTGCCAACCTACTCTTTGCCAGGACCTTCAAAAGTTCAGTCAATCTTAATTTTAATAACCCAAAACCATTTAGAAATACACTAGACTTTCTGCCTATATTGTGGTAAGGCAAAACATCAAATTCACTTAACTAGCACAAATTGGTGTCTAATATGTTTTTTTCCTGATACCCTGATACTTTATTCACCCGATCCACTACTAAACATCCCTCTCAAAAAAACTCTTGACTTTCTCCTGTCCATTTCCCATTCACAACCCTATAAATCTCAGTAGATGACCTTACCTCCTACATTAGAAAGGACAACACCCAAATTAAATATGAATTTTCACACATATTCTTGTCCACTCCTCAAAATCCGTTTCCTAACATTCTTTCTAGGATCAATAAAAAAAAACAATTACCACCACCACCACCACTAAAATAAAAAATTTCCTACCCTGAAGGCCAATCCCTGCACACACACTCTTAATCCTATTTTTCTTCACCATTTTTTAAGTTATGAATTTATTTTTAAGTGCCTACAGTAAACAAAGTGAAGATAAATTTTGAAAAGAACCTAGTCTCTGCCCTTGAAGATCTTCCAAAAATCAGAAAGGAAGGGGAAGGGTAAAATGATGGGATGAACACAAACACTAACTCATAAGTGCAAATAATAACAACAAATAATTACATACAACCCTCCCTCCTTACCAAGAGGTGGGTGACTTATCTATTCTGAGAAACATGAAGTATTCTGAGAAAGTTATAACTTGTTTAGAGGCATATCCTACAGAGAGAAATAAATAGCAGAACCCAATGCTTAAATGTGTTTTTTCTCTTACTAACGGAGGCTACTTTTAAGAAATATCAGCCTTTACATTTTAGTGAAAACGTATTCTGGCGTTAAGAATTCCAAGCCTCTCAAATGTATGAAGGTTACATTCAACAGAATTATTAACAACAATAAGAGTTTTAAATATATGACAGAACAAAAAGAAATGAAGTACTGTAATTTTATAAAATTACAAAACAACAACAGAGTTAAACTCAGAAAATAACAGACAAGCCAGATTTTCTTCAATAATAAATCTTCTATGATGTAACTGCATAAGTAAAGTATACCCCCAAACAAAGAGGCAAATTGATTTTAAAGGTCATAATGATGCTTTGCATTTTTATCTTATACTAGAAAAAATGTAAGATTGATGATGTGTCCTGATATTCTATTAATCATAGACAAATAAAAAATACACATTGCTATTTATCAAGTAACAAGACATTAACCTGAGCAAGTTTATGGTTGTTTTATTTGAGAGGGCATTTAAGATTTACAAAATCTGAAACATACCTTTAATGATTATTTTTTACTATGAGAAAGAGTAGTGAAAATGGAAAACTTTGGCAAGATTTCACCAAGGTTTAGTACATTAAAATATTAGCAAATTGAGTAACTTCAGCAAATTAAAATCATCTGTGTCTGTACATTTATTTCTCTAACAAGTTTTTCAGCATGTAATTTCTTTGTGTGTATTGAAAAAATAGTTGGATCTCATTCACCTGATATGGAAACTGAAAATCCATGAATATTGTTTTACCCATTATTTTCCCCCATTATATTAATTCTACTAATGAGGTCAGAGTTGACATTTTAAATTAAATGAGGCTATTAGTGACAGTAGTATTTTGGTATATATTCACTTTGTGTATGTTTGTGGAGTAAATCTTTTAAAAAATACGCACTCATTTTACATCAAGCTTCAAACCAATTCACAATTCTGTGACTCTGCAATGCACTGGAAGCCTTCTTTTGTCACCCAGAGGCTTTTTTAAATTTGTGTGTGTGTGTGTGTGTGTGTGTGTGTGTGGTGTGTGTGTATCTGTGTATGTAAAGCCTTAAGAAAAACACCACAAATGCAAATGCAATAATTAATATCCTTTTGCGTGAATGGTGACTAATATGTTTCCAGAATGATGGATAGATGAAAGAGCAAAGAGAACATAGATACTTGGATAATTAGCCAATTTGTCCAAACTAGTTTTTCCTACTCATAATCTCCAAATTTTTTGTTTTCTTCCATACATCAGTTACTGATGAGTAGCAATTACAAAATAAATTGTACCTAGACATTTGCCAGGTTTATGATTTTCCACTAAATATACACATATATACACAATACACATACACACATATATACATATATACCAACAAAAATATATATATACATTATATATATACATATTTGTATGTATACACATACATATTTACTTTTTTCAAGAAAAGCAAAACTTTGATTAACCAAGCCAAGCACTTTCCATATCTTGCAAGATGCATCTTCACGTCAGATGCCATTCTGAACCTTTGGCAGCTCTGTGCTCCCTCAGAGCAATGGACACTATTATTATAACACCATGTGCCAACTGTAACACAATCTAAATATAACCACTTGTGGCATTGTTCATCCCTCATCATGAGTTGCTTTTTGTTGTTGTTTTGTTTTTGTTTTTGTTTTGTTTTGTTTTTGAGACAGAGTCTTGCACTGTTACCTAGGCTGGAGTGCAGTGGTATGATCATAGCTTACTACAGCCTCAATCTTCCAGGCTCAATTGATCCTCCCACCTCAGCCTCCCAAAATGCTGCAATTAAAGGCATGAGCCACCACATCTGTCCTGACTATGGGTTCTGTGTTATCCCAAGATCTCTGAGCCTAGATCAGTGCCTAGCATAAGGTAATTTCTTAATATATTTGAATGAATAACCAAGCTATGCTCCAAATCTGAGGTGTACCAGGGAGGAGATTGAATTAAAAATAAGTACAAAGAAAACTGTCAGAATTCAAGGAATATAGAGAAGCCAGACATTAACACAAATTATTTTTTTCAAACTGGGGAAAGTTTTACAAGTAAGCACACATATAGAAGATAGAGGTCAAGAAAGTCAATGTGCCAAAATTATGGCAGAAATAGAAATTATAAACAAAAAACAAGCATTATAACAAACATTTTCATACTCTTCCTGCTGAAAAAGTATCCATAGACCAAATTTTAAGAGGATAGAGAGCATAGTTTACTTCTATGCAATAACTCTTCGACTTTGAAAATTATTATTTCAGCAAGTTTATACCCAAGTAAGAAAAATAAAATGGTCCAATATGTGTTAGTCAGTATACACATATCATCACAATGGGAAAAACTCAAAACACAATAGCTACAGCATGACTTATATGTGACTTCAAAATGTACAAGCAACTCAATATTTGCCTAGGTGTTCAATCAGGAAGGCACGGTCTGCCTTGTACAGGGAAGATGTCAGAATACGTTACAAGCGTACCATAGTGTATTCGCTGCAGAACACATGGCTAAATATGTCTCCATCCTTATCTTCAAGGCCTAACCTTTGATGACACAGAAATTCTGGGAAGAAAGGACAGCAAACTTTCTCCAGTGTTTGGATTGAATCTCTTTGGGTTAAACTATTATTCAAAGAAGCAAAAATATAGTCCATTCTCTGAAAAGGCACACCAATTTGTAACTGATCTGGAAGATTTCCACTGATAAAATATATGCTTCGGTTATATATTTTAGGCACAACCAGAGAATTTTAGGGATAATCCTGATATCTTTACACAGTTCTCTACCTTCATACCATATCTGATATCTGGAATAATGAAGGGAGAACCAAGGACAACCACTCAGAGTAGGGGGTCTCTGAGTTTAGGCAAGAAGGAACTCTTTCACCAAAATACTCATCATGCAGTGATGTCTGTATTAGTCGGGATAGGCTAGGTTATGCTGAGATAATGGATAACTCTGAAGCCAATATGGCATAAAATAATTAATGTTTATGTGTACATATGTACATCACGGCTTGCCTAGGGATTTTTCTCAATGACCTAAGCTTGATGATGTATCCAACATCTAAAGCATTGCTTGATGCTATGGTAGATAAACGTATATGGTGAATTGCACATGGGCTTTCAAAGGCTTTTGTCTACAAGTGAGACATAGCACTTTCATTAACATTTATTAACTGAAGTCAGTTACATGACCATACCTAACTTCAGGAGGGGCCAGGAGGTGCATTCTTACCAGCTGCTTAGATAAAGAATGGGAACACCGGTAAATATTCCAAAAGTTATCACAGTTTATAATTGTAAATAACATCTTTTCAATTCTCTTTTATATTTTAGGGAACTGAAAAGCAACCTAAATATTACTTAAAGGTTAAGAGAAGCAATGATTTTACATGCTGCACTTTAATAAGCAAAGATCATAAGACCTCACCTGAAGCTGAGAGCATAAATTTTCCCACTATTGATGATACATTTTTGAAGTGTTGATGTTATTTATTCATTCCAGAAATATAATTTGAAATCTCTTAGATAGTAGTTTTGAAAACCACTATTACAGATGAAATGGTTAACTAAATATTGATAAACTATTTTTAAAACAATAAAACATTATTTAATTTAAATATCACTTCTTTATCTTAAGACTCTTTTCATTCATGTAAAAAAGTATTTAAAAGCAAAACCAACATAGAAAATTTGTTTTCAAATATTGTTCTTGGTTCCTAACAAATTATCAGTAATCTTCTTGCCAAATCCATTTGTCTGTTTTCAGTTTTTATGCTATTATCTGTAATAGACCTTCTTCGCCATTATTCTTTCTGTAACTCTCCACCCTTGGCTTTCATTGGCATGGTTACTTGTGTTTTTCCTTGTGCCTCTGGGTTGGTTCTTCTAAGACTCCTGTTCAGGTGCCTCCTTTTTGTCCCTGTTTCTCAACATTGGCATCAACCTAGCACCATCCACTGTCCTCTTTCTTTTAACTGTCTTACTGTTGATGGCACGATGGAATGATGGACGGATGGCAACGTCCATCCTTCTAGTTTCATGTATGTAACCAACATCTGATGATGGGCCCCAAATCTAGTTTTTCAATTCTGAGACATCTCTTTACATTCAGATTCATATTATCAGTTGATTGCTGGATAGCATTTTATAAACAAACCTCAAGAATGTAACATTAAATCATTCAAAAGCTGAACTAATTTTCTCCCTCTATACCACAGACCTACTTCTAATTATTTTATATAGACATATTAATAGATATCCGCATCACATATCTAGAAACTTTCAAATTATTGTTAGCTCTTTCTTTACCCTCTTCCCTTAAATACACACCCATTTGTTTA